>NC_000012.12:75793461-75944976 GCF_000001405.40 Homo sapiens | reverse complement strand
CAAAATGAATCAGCTCTGGTAAATCTGTCTCGGGGCTGAACAAGACTTACAGTAGACATTGGAGTGGGAGAGAAGCAGTCACTTTCCCATACACTTGGCCATCTCAGAATACTACTGTGGTTGTTCTTCGATTGAAAGGTCAAGCCCTGTGCAGAGTCCTCATCTGAAGATGAGCCTGTGGCTTGTTTCCTTTTCCATTTTCTGACCATAGCCTTCTCTGAGACTTCCTCCAAAGTTCATGAGTAATTTTGCTACTGTGAGTAACATGGTGTTAACTTCCTTTTGGAGGAGATAAACCTTACCTGAGTCATTCAAAGGCTTCTTGTTATTCAGATTCCTTTGTGTCAGGTTAACCCTGGCTGGACCTGTGCTTGCTTTGTATCATCTCATCTGCCTGTTAATCTCACTTGTTCATTTCCCTCTGCTGAAGGAGGGTATTAACTGGCCAAACAGTGTATACACTATATGCAAAATGATGTTGCTGTTTTGTTAGAGCAAGAGTCTTTTACCTTCTTGCAATTTGAATAGGAAGAAAAGGTCTGTTAAGAAGGTTTGTGCTGGGTAATGACTATGTGCCTCTTTCTCTTTTAGTTCTTGCTTTTAAAAAGGAAGTGACTCATACTGCAGATAAACTGGACTTGAAAGAATGTCTGGCTTATGCAAAGCTCTTATTTACATACTAGTCTCTTTCATTCACAAGCAAATAGGGACTCTAGGACTTTGGTTCTGGAGTTCCTCCCATTTTATTTTTGTTCTTTTATAAGCAGTGGCCTAAAATGATCCCTGGGGGGATTTTCTCTGCTCTTAGCAGGTCCCCCATTCAGACTTTTTTCTTTGCTGAAAGTAGGAATTTCATAAATATAAGACCAGGGACCAGAGAGAGGGTATAAAAATTTCCTCTCCTTCATTTCTAACTCCTCAGAATCTCAGACATCCCACCACTGGTATCTCATGTCTTCTTGTCTGTCTAGATGGAGCTATATTTACATCCTATGATTTCCTTCACAGAGTTCAACAAAGCAGCTTAGTGGAGAGGTTAGGAGTGCGTGCTTTAGTGTCAGCTAGACCTGGCTTGGTGCATACTCTTGGGCAAGTCATTTAATCTTAAGTCTATTTCCTCACTTATAGATGGGAATCATAATACCTGGATCCTTGTGCTGCTGTGATAGTGATGTGAGAATTTATGTAAAACATAAGGTTGTCCAATATTTGAGATTGTCATTAACAAGAATTTCATCTGTAACCTGATTTAATGTCTAATCCTTTTTTGATTTTAAGGTTCTTCTTTACGCCTTTTCTGAATCACTTCTTCAATTTATTTTATTTTATTTTTTTATATGCAGTATGATTTATTTTATATAATGTTCAAAAGCTTGCAAAAACAGCATATTGTTTACAGATGCATATTTTGGAGGTAAAATTATGAAGAAAAGCGAGATCATTATAAACAAAATTTAGGAGGGGGCTGGGATGGAGAAGGGCATGCAAAAGGGCTTTAACGGTGTTGGTTGTAATCTGTATCTTAAACTGGGTATGGGTAGTAGGGTGTCCAGTTTTGTTTTTGTTTATTTTTATTTTTATTTTTATTTTTTTATTGATCATTCTTGGGTGTTTCTCACAGAGGGGGATTTGGCAGGGTCATAGGACAATAGTGGAGGGAGGGTCAGCAGATAAACAAGTGAACAAAGGTCTCTGGTTTTCCTATGCAGAGGACCCTGCGGCCTTCCGCAGTGTTTGTGTCCCTGGGTACTTGAGATTAGGGAGTGGTGATGACTCTTTTTTTTTTTTTTTTTTTTTTTTTTGAGACAGAGTCTCGCTCTGTCGCCCAGGCTGGAGTGCAGTGGCGGGATCTCGGCTCACTGCAAGCTCCGCCTCCCGGGTTCACGCCATTCTCCTGCCTCAGCCTCCCAAGTAGCTGGGACTACAGGCGCCCGCCACTGCGCCCAGCTAATTTTTTGTATTTTTAGTAGAGACGGGGTTTCACCGTTTTAGCCCGGATGGTCTCGATCTCCTGACCTCGTGATCCGCCCGCCTCGGCCGGTGATGACTCTTAACGAGCATGCTGCCTTCAAGCACCTGTTTAACAAAGCACATCTTGCACCACCCTTAATCCATTTAACCCTGAGTGGACACAGCACATGTTTCAGAGAGCACAGGGTTGGGGGTAGGGTCACCGATCAACAGGATCACAAGGCAGAAGAATTTTTCTTAGTACAGAACAAAATGAAAAGTCTCCCGTGTCTACCTCTTTCTACACAGACATGGCAACCATCCGATTTCTCAATCCTTTCCCCGCCTTTCCCCCCTTTCTATTCCACAAAACCGCCATTGTCATCATGGCACGTTCTCAATGAGCTGTTGGGTACACCTCCCAGACGGGGTGGTGGCTGGGCAGAGGGGCTCCTCACTTCCCAGTAGGGGCGGCCGGGCAGAGGCGCCCCTCACCTCCCGGACAGGGCGGCTGGCCGGGCGGGGGGCTGACCCCCCCACCTCCCTCCTGGACGGGGCGGCTGGCTGGGCAGAGGGGCTCCTCACTTCTCAGGAGGGGCGGCCAGGCAGAGGCGCCCCTCACCTCCCGGATGGGGCGGCTGGCCGGGCAGGGGGCTGACCCCCCCCCCACCTCCCTCCCGGACGGGGCGGCTGGCCGGGCAGAGGGGCTCCTCACTTCCCAGTAGGGGCGGCCGGGCAGAGGCACCCCTCACCTCCCGGACGGGGCGGCTGGCCGGGTGGGGGGCTGACCCCCACACCTCCCTCCCGGACGGGGCGGCTGGCCGGGCGGGGGGCTGACCCCCCCACCTCCCTCCCGGATGGGGCGGCTGGCCGGGCGGGGGGCTGACCCCCCCACCTCCTTCCCGGACGGGGCGGCTGGCCGGGCAGAGGGGCTCCTCACTTCCCAGTAGGGGTGGCCAGGCAGAGGCGCCCCTCACCTCCCGGACGGGGCGGCTGGCCGGGCGGGGGGCTGACCCCCACACCTCCCTCCCGGACGGGGCGGCTGGCCGTGCGGGGGGCTGACCCCCCCACCTCCCTCCCGGTCGGGGCGGCTGGCCTTGCGGGGGCTGACCCCCACCTCCCTCCCGGATGGGGTGGCTGCCGGGCAGAGATGCTCCTCACTTCCCAGACGGGGTGGCTGCCGGGCGGAGGGGCTCCTCACTTCTCATATGGGGCGGTTGCCAGGCAGAGGGTCTCCTCACTTCTCAGACGGGACGGCTGGGCAGAGACGCTCCTCACCTCCCAGACGGGGTTGCGGCCGGGTAGAGGCGCTCCTCACATCCCAGACGGGGCGGCGGGGCAGAGGTGCTCCCCACATCTCAGATGATGGGCGGCCGGGCAGAGACGCTCCTCACTTCCTAGATGGGATGGCGGCCGGGAAGAGGTGCTCCTCACTTCCTAGATGGGATGGCGGCCGGGCAGAGACGCTCCTCACTTTCCAGACTGGGTAGCCAGGCAGAGGGGCTCCTCACATCCCAGACGATGGGCGGCCAGGCAGAGACGCTCCTCACTTCCCAGACGGGGTGGCGGCCGGGCAGAGGCTGCAATCTCGGCACTTTGGGAGGCCAAGGCAGGCGGCTGGGAGGTGGAGGTTGTAGCGAGCCGAGATCACGCCACTGCACTCCAGCCTGGGCACCATTGAGCACTGAGTGAACCAGACTCCGTCTGCAATCCCGGCACCTCTGGAGGCCGAGGCTGGCGGATCACTCGCAGTTAGGAGCTGGAGACCAGCCCGGCCAACACAGCGAAACCCCGTCTCCACCAAAAAAATACGAAAACCAGTCAGGCGTGGTGGCGCGCGCCTGCAATCGCAGGCATTCGGCAGGCTGAGGCAGGAGAATCAGGCAGGGAGGCTGCAGTGAGCCGAGATGGCAGCAGTACAGTCCAGCTTCGGCTCGGCATCAGTGGGAGACCGTGGAAAGAGAGGGAGAGGGAGACCGTGGGGAGAGGGAGAGGGGGGAGAGGGGGAGGGGGAGGGAGAGGGAGAGGGAGAGCCACTTCTTCAATTTAAACCACTTAATCTCTCACTGTTTTCTGGGTTGATGAAGAAATGGTGGTGGTTTATGTTTTCGGTTACAAGAGCCTACTAGATTCTCAAAAATTCAGGTTTGTTCTAGAGACTCCTGGGCAGGCAGACGAATGCAGGGTGAGGAGTTTATTTTATCTAACTACACAGTTAAAGGGTTTCCTAGAGGCCAGGATTCCTTGCCCTGCCCATCAGCTTCTGAACCAGAGATGACCTCAGGCTGGTGTGATCCAGAACAATCCCATTTAGACCTGGCTCCGTCTTCCCAGCAAAACAGCATCCGGCCAGGGCACTAGGCAAACAATCTTCTCTTGTTTTCACCTCCTTAAAATAACTCTCCTGCACTCAAAGACAATTATTAATCTAGTCACAGCTTGTACAGTAGTTTGGGTACAAACCAATATTAAAGTGAACTCCTGGCCAGGCGTGGTGGCTCATGCCTGTAATCCCAGCACTTTGGGAGGCTGAGGCAGGTGAATCATGAGGTCAGGAGTTCAAGACCAGCCTGGCCAAGATGGTGAAACCACATCTCTACTAAAAATAACAAAAAAATTAGCCGGGCGTGGTGGTGGGTGCCTGTAATCCCAGTTACTCGGGAGGCTGAGGCAGAGAATTGCTTGAACCCGGGAGGCGGAGGTTGCAGTGAGTGGAGATCGCGCCACTGCACTCCAGCCTAGGTGACAGAGCGAGACTCTGTCTCAAAAAAAAAAAAAAAAAAAGTGAACTCCTTTGAGTTTGTCTCATACGTTCTACTTTTTATTCCTTTAATATTTCTTTTGCTTTCCGAATATGCTTTGGTGCATATTCATTCACTTGTTCTTTTCAACCCTTCCTCTTGCTCCCAAACTCATCAACTAACTGATGGTGAATGGAAATTTGAAATTAAAGAATTACTTAGTCCTCCCACGTACACCATGCATTCTCCAAATATTTTATAAACATCTTCGTGGCTGGGTGCAGTGGCTCACAGCTATTATCCTGGCACCTTGGGAGGACAAGATTGGCGCATTGCTTGAGCCCAGAGGCTGCAGATATCTCTACAAAAATTAAAATTAAAATAAATTAGCTGGGTGTGGTAAAGTGCACCTGTAGTCCTTGCTACTCAGGAGGCTAGCAGTAAGCTATGAATGTGCCACTGTACTCCATCTAGCTTGGGTGACAGAGTGAGACCCTGCCTCAAATAAGTACATAAATAAATAAAATTAAATAAAAATATCTTCTCTATGCCAAGTACTGTACCAGATGCTGGGCATATGTTTAGAGAGAGAGAGAGAGAGAGAGAGAGACAGAGACAGAGAGACAGAGACAGAGAGACAGACAGACACAATGCTTGTCTTTATGGAATTTATAACCTATCATCATCATTATGGGACATTTTAGGGTTCTGTTAGCACCCATCCAGCAGCCATCTCACAATTTCATAACCTTCTTAATTTTGTTTGACTTTCACCTCCTTTCCACTTCAGCCATCCTTTCACATAGGCACTTCATAGGCATTTACAATTACACTTGACCTTGTCATCAGTCAGAACTGACATCTTAAACTCTAAAGACTGGCTTGCTACCCACAGCCTCCCATCCTCCCAGCTTTCTCACCCCCATTTTCCAGCTATGCAGGATGGCGAGTTTCATTTTTCTTTGAGTCTATCAGTCGCTTCCGTGTTTTCCTTCTCTTCCTATCCAGTCTAAACAGGATGCTGGCTTACTGCTTGAATTTGTCCCTGGTTAATACCATCATATCCTTTGCATCTTTTTCTGTGGTCATATCCTTTAAGATCTGTACTCTGTACCAATGCAGCTTTTTCGCTTTCACATCAAGGCTTCTGAATGCTGCTAGGAAAAAAAGTCACTTGACTTTGTCACAACAAATTTATTGTCTTCATCTTTAGCCAGACTTACAATGCTTCACCGTAATCTTTCTGTATGCTTTCAGTTGTATCTTTCTTTCATTTCCCATGATTTCATTGCTTTTTCTTCTGGCTTATAAAAATATATATTTTTGGTTTAAAAATTTTTATTATGGAAAAATTCAGATATATATAAAAGAGAGAATAGTCTGATAAACTTTTATATATCTATCACTCAGCTTACAGCCAATCTTGTTTAATTTAGGGCCTTTATCCTACCCCCAGATTGCTTTAAAACAAATCCTTGACACCATATTATTTTATCTGTAAATATTGTGCGTAGTCTAAAAGATGAGGGCACTTAAAAAATTAACCACAACAGCATTATCTAAACAAAAAAGTTAACAGTAATTTCCTAACACCAGCAGACCTGCAGGCAATTTTCTTATTTCCCAAATTGCCTTTTGATTTTTTAAAGTCTGTTTGAATCATGATCCAAATGAAGCACATGTTATTGTGATGGGTTGACATGTCTGTTAAGTTTTTTAAAGTAAAGTTTCCCCCTCCTTTTCTCTTTTTTCTTGCTCTGTGTGTGTATGTGTGTGTGTGTGTGTATGTGTACACACAGGGTCTCATGTCTGCTTTTTGAAACCGTTACTGCGTTACTATGACCAACTCTCATTCTTGACAGCTGATCAGTATTTATGGGAAGAGTCCCTTAACTCCCTGCCCTTCTGTCTGTAACCTGATTAACATCTGCATACATCATTCCCTCCTCTGCTAGTCTCTAAGGAAAGTAGTCTCTTACTCCCATCTAAGGCTAATTCTTCCATCAGTGCCCTGGTTCCCTCCTTACTTAGGGAGTGCATTTCATTTTTTAATCCTCCCTTTTTGGCATCTTTATCTCCCCCTGACTTTTTCCTGTCAGTATATAAACATGTTCAAGGCTCTCTCAACTATACAAACAAACTAACCAACCAAGTAATAGTCCCCCAGCACTGACATACACCTATACCCGCAGATTTTCAGGCCTGTGTATCATTCTAATTTTGGTTCCATCTCTCATCTTCCTTTCAAAGCCAAACTTCTATAAAATTCTCTAAATTCATTTTTTTTCTACTTTCTTAACTTCCATGTACTCCCTAATCCACTGCCTGGCTTTGGTTTCTGTCACTCCTCAGAAATAGTGCTTTGCTTTCCAAGCTCCCCAAAAACCTCCTCTGGGCTAAATGCAGTGGGCATCCTTTGAGTCTTTATCTCATTTGAAATCTCTGCCGTGTTTTGCAGTGTTGGCCATGCACTGGTTCTTGAAACATTCTCTAGCTTTGGCCTGTCTTGGTTTTTCTCCTACCTCTCTGATGGCAACTTCACAATTTCTTTGAAGGTTTTTCTTCCTCTTTCTGCCTTAAGTATTTTGTGAGTTCTATACCATTTCCCTGCATGATCTCATCTATTCCTATGAATGGCTCTGAAATCTTTCTAGTGTGAACTGGACCTCTGTAACCCATTGCCTATTGGACAAACATTTAATGTTCCTTGGACAACTCAGACTCAACATAGCTAAAGATGGATCCTTCCCACTTAATTTATTCTCCTTCCTGCATTGTCTATCTCTGTGAATGATAGCCCTGTCTACCTAGTTGCCTGAGCCAGAAATTTGGTAATTATCTTTGATGCCTTCCTCTGTCTCCTTGCTATCTTTACTCCCATGTCTAATGAACCACCAAGTGATATTAATCTTAACATTACTCTCTTTTCATGTTCTCCTCCCCAAAGCTCCTCATATTTTACATAGATTGCTGCAATGGCCATGACAGGGCATTCTCCCTCCTATATAGGATCCTTTGATCTTCTTCCCACACTACTCCCCGAGCAATCAGGTTACCATGCTGCAAGAAACCCTCCAATAGCTTTCCATTCCTCCAGTGAAACAAAGAAGTGTGGGAGCGAATATATAAAGCTCTTTTTACTTGGGGAAGTCTTACCTCTTCATCTTCTTCAGCCATTCCCCATCTCCTTTCCTACAACCCAACTCCTTGCATTTCCGAAAAGGGTCTATTTTCTTAAGCCTGTGCCCATGCTGCCTGCTCCAATTAGAATGTTCTTCCTTTCCTTTGTTTAACTCAACCTTCTAGCTAAGGTCAAAGGGGGGTCACCTCTACTAGAAATTCCTCTCTAATCCCCGGTCCAAGTTAGGTGCTCTCCTTATCTATCTGCCTCGAAACATCTCTCATGATAGGCCATGCTCACTGCTTTACTCTGTCCTTTACCTATTGATGTATCTGTGGTCCTGGCCAGTGTTCAGACCTGGCTCCCCAGGTCATGGAATGTCCCAGCTGGAAAGGACTTCCTCTTCATTTTGCAGATGATGATTTGTTTGTGTCTTACTGCCTTTAAGAAAGGAATCTGAACTTCCTGTTTTAGCAATTGGAAAACTGTTTACTAAGGCTCTGCCTTGGGCAAGGTGCTATGTTAGGCATCTTCAGAGTATATAGAAACCCTTCTCTTAAGTTGCTCAGTGAGGCAGGGGAGATAAAATATCTAATAAGTAAAATGCAAGCAGTAAAGAGGCAAATAAGAGAGGTAGAGATAAAATGCTGTGAGACCTCAGAGGAGGGTATGATAAAGGACACTGGGATCTGCAAAGGGGTCAAGGAAAGTCCTGTGGAGGACTGATGTAGGAGCTGAGCCTTGAACATGGGTGGCAGGGAATAAATTGTAGAGGGGGCATTTGGGGCAGAGAGGCTAGTAAGAGGAAAGGCAGAGGCTAATTGAATTTTAAGCAATGGGCATAATTTGCTGTCTGAGAGTTAGCAGTTTCTTTCATGATTTTTTTTAATTGCAAAAATTGTGTAGCACCAAATTGGGATCTTTTGTTGCTTGAAAAATATTTAGATAGCCTAGATATATTATCCTGTGTCATCATGTTACTTTGGCTGTCTCCTTTTTCCCAGCATTCAGAGGATCAAAAGTTTGTAACATTTATTTATTTATTCAGTAAACAGTTATTGATCTTCACTATGGGCTGGGTGTAATGGCATTCACAAAGATAAATAAGACAAAATCACTGTTTCCAAGAAGTCACAGTGTTGTGAGTGTGGTAAGAGATAGGAAGATTACAGGATGGTTAAAAAACAAAGTAGGCCAGGTGTGTTGGCTCATGTCTATAATCCCAGAGCTTTGGGGGGCAGAGGCGAGTGGATTGCTTGAGGCCAGGAGATCGAGACCAGCCTGGGCAACATAGTGAGACCCCATCTCTACAAAAAATAAAAGAATTAGCTGGGTGCAGTGGTGCATGCCTGTAGTCCCAACTACTGGGAAGGCTGAGGCAGAAGCATCAATTGAGCTCAGAAGTTAGAGTCAGCAGTGAGCTATGATCACACCACTGCACCCCAGCCTGGGCAACGGAGACTGTCTCTAAAGCAACAACAATAACAAGATAATAAATACTGTCTGTGACACAGGTATGAGGAGGTTGCTATAGAAGCTGAGCCAAGGGAGCCCCTACCTCTGGCCTGGGGGCAAGAGGAACCATTGAAGAAAATTTGAAACCTCTGAAATAGGCAGGGATAAAAAGTGTCCCAGAGACAGTTACACTATGTGAGAAGTAAATGGGAGGTGAGAAAATGGAACCAAGGTGGGTAGCTTTTTGTACTTTCGTAGATTTGCAACTGAGCTTCAGCAATATTTCTACCCTGATCTATGTTATTTTTATTTTATTTTAATTTTTTTTTTATTTGAGACAGAGTCTCACTCTATTGCGCAGGCTGGAGTGCAGTGGCACGATCTCGGCTCACTGCAACCTCCTCCTCCCAGGTTCAAGCAATACTCCTGCCTCAGCCCCCCGGTAGCTGGGATTACAGGCATGCACCACCATGCCTCGCTAATTTTTGTATTTTTAGTAGAGATGGGGTTTCACTATGTTGGCCAGACTGGGGTCGAACTTCTGACCTCAGGCGATCCACCTGCCTTGGCCTCCCAAAGTGCTGGGATTACAGGCATGAGCCACCATGCCTGGCCAATCTATGTTATTTTTAAAAGAAGAAGAGAAATAGATCAAGGAAGAGGAGAAAGACCTGGTTCCATAGATCTGACTCTGCAGTTTGTGTGCTGTGTAATAGAGAAAAGTTAGTGTCAATTTGGACATGGGCCAAATGACCTTTTGAGTCTCTTGTAGCACAAATGACCTGGAATCCTGTTTTCTTTATGATTATGAAGCTGGGCATAGGTATTCTGATGGGCACAGCCAAGATATTTAAGCCAACATTTGCTGAGAAACAGTGAAACTCATTTTCAGACATTTTTCCCCCATGACTGAGAAGTGTTAGGTTTTTGTCCAGCAGCAGTAGCTGTTGATTGCTGTTTTCCTGAGAGAGGGAGGCTTTTTTTTTTTTTTTTTTTTTTTAACATTCTGACACCTTTTTTTTCCCCTCCGTATCAGTACTGCTCACTAACCACATCATATGGTGATAAGAACTGAAATTACTCATTGACATTATCGTGGGGCTATTTCGAAAACATTATCTCATTTCATTTCCTAGAATATCATCAAGTCTCCACAATACCAGTTCCTTAAAGGAGAATGTTTTTGTTCCAACTGAAACCAAAATATTTTAGTGAATTTTGTCTTCAGTATTACTTCCTTCCTATTCTAATACTGTGGTCAAAAGTATAACTTTTGGCAAACTCTTTGCCATAGCGGAATCTGACTTAGTTTGCTGAATTTGAAGTTAGCTGTTTTCAGTAATTTCTTTTCTTTTTTTTTTTTTTTTTTTTTTTTTTTGAGATGGAGTCTTGCTCAGCCCCCCAGGCTGGAGTGCAGTGGTGTGATCTCGGCTCACTGCAGCTACCATCTCCTGGGTTCAAGTGATTCTCCTGTCTCAGCCTCCTGAGTAGCTGGGATTACAGGCACCCATCATCATGCTCGGCTAATTTTTGTATTTTAATAGAGATGGGGTTACTCCATGTTGGCCAAGCTGGTCTTGCACTCCTGACCTCAGGTGATCTGCCCCCCTCGGCCTCCCAAAATGCTGGGATTACAGGCTTGAGCCACCGCATGCAGCCTGTTTTCAGTGATTTGTCTTTACTCTTTATGTAGATTATCTGCATTGCAGATTACTTATTGTAATTTTCAAATCCTGGGCTGAATTTCTTTCATCATTTCCTGTGGATTTGTCATCTCTTTCCTCATCCTCACCCTCTATTCAGGCACCATGTAACCAGGCAGTTAGACAAAGCATTGTTTCATAGCTGAATCCATCACATATTTTTTTTATATATATTCCCAAAGGTATACAAATAGTTTTCATATTGTTTGAGAGTTTGATTTGTTTCCACTAACATAGAAAAATAGTTGTTTAATAATTAGACACTCCTTTTGTTTGATCTTGACTCCTTTTTCATGAGACCAGATGAAGTATTCATTAATGTTCCTATGAAATAATTATTTTGAAAACTTTTAACCAGTTCCAGTTTTTTTTTTTTTCACTTTTCTGATGTATTGATCATTCATGCATTCACTGACCATTTACACCATTTTTATATTGCTCTCTAAACTGCTATATTCAAAGCTAATTGTAGGCAACATCCTTAAATACAGTTAAAGCAATAATAGTTCAGGGGGACGAGTGTTAGCAGCATTTTAGGATATTCAGAGAAAGAGGTACAGTAAGACATCTTAGAGCTTCTGGGAGGCCAAGGGGCTTGCTGGCTAATGTTTCAACCATCAGAACTTGTTTGAGCAACAGTCTTGGCCCTACTACATGAGTCATAAACACCAGGATAGGCGATGCCTTCAGCCAGATGCAATGGAAAAGAGTTTGTTAACATGGAAAATATGGGATGGCTATACCACATACGTCAGTAGGACTCCCAGAACTGAGTCTTTTAGACCCGTTAATTACTTTTTGAGTGAATTAATGTATATGAGCAAACACATTTAGGGTGTTGCTAGCCTTATTAGCCAATAAGCACAATTCCTTGCCAGACAGTTTAAGACTGAGACCAGCTAGTTAATGAATTTACTGAAAGGCTCATTTATAAGGCTGCTTCACAGAGAATTTAGCAATAAACAATTCTGCCAACTCTTGATCTTTCAGCTATAGCCTTTCTTCCTGTATTTCTTTGGAATAACACATAATTAACATACAGCGATCAAGTTTTTGCTTGTCATTTAATATAGCACATTTTTTCTTTTGTTTTTTAGTATCTTTGCATATCAAGCAATGCTTTTAAAACTTATGCAAGCGTTGTATTTTGGACTCTATTTCTTTATAATTTTTTGTATCATCCTGCTGGGTAGATAGTGTGGGAAGAAATGCAGAGATTTTTATTGAATACTGCCTTGTTTTTAGGTGGTGTTTAATATTTAGATATGTTGGGTCTGCTAATTTAGGAGGAAAAAGTATTCTTTGGATTTTTCTTTTGCATAGCTTATTTTAGTTGCCAATCTTTTCTGGGTCTGAAGGGTCAAAAATGGCTGATAAAAATAGGTAAATAGCAATGAATGTGGTTGTAGGAAAATAGGAACTGATGGTGCTATGAAAGTGTTAATCTCCCATCATCAGTCTATATTCCTGGTTTTAGTGTCACAGGAATTTGACAGCCTCCTGAACTTTAGCCACCTCTCAGAAAATCCTGCTTCTCTTTTGAACAATGACTCCAGGGCTGGAAGATGGGTGAGGCATCCACTTAGTGTGTCAACAATGTAGAAAGGACCATGGTGAGAAGCTGACTAGAAGCCCACAGTGCTAGTTAAAGAGAAGAGGACTTTGAAAAGAAGTGAGAATAAGTGTGAACAGTTGACTCCAAGTAGGAAATTAGTGGAGGATGAACTAAATTAGAGTTCGGGATAAGCAAAGAACAAAGGTATATTCTATGGCCAGGATCCAGGCTGGTTGTGTAGTGAGTGAGGCAGTTTTATGTATTGAGTGTGCATTCACAGAATGTAGGGGTGCGTGTGTGTGTGTGTGTGTGTGTGATCAAGTCAGCTGTTTTCTCTTTAGCTCCAGTTAGTTGTCAACATGTGGGCCTAATGTTGCTGGGTCATCCCACTTTTCAGAAGAAATGGGAAACCTGATATTTTAAAGGGAATATGTAATTTTTTTTTTTTTTTTTGAGATGGAGTCTTGCGATGTCACCCAGGCTGGAGTGCCGTGGCTTGATCTCGGCTCACTGCAACCCCTGCCTCCCGGATTCAAGTGATTCTCCTGCCTCAGCCTCCCGAGTAGTTGGGCTTACAGGCGAGTGCCACCACACCGGGCTAATTTTCGTATTTTTAGTAGAAACGGGGTTTCAGCATCTTGGCCAGGCTGGTCTTAAACTCCTGACCTCGTGATCCACCTGCCTTGGCCTCCCAAAGTGCTAGGGTTACAGACATGAGCCACTGCGCCCAGCCAATATGTCAGATTTTAAAATGTAGCACTACATTAAAAAAACTGTGTGAGCCCAGATGACTATCTATGAGCTGATGGGACACTTTGGTCATCAGTGGGTCACCTCTATTCAAAGCTGATTTCAGGATTACATGCTACATGCTGAGAATTGTGCTACTGATTAACTGGGCAACCTCAAAATCACCATCTGAATAATGTGCTCTAAGAAGACTT
Organism: Homo sapiens; assembly: GCF_000001405.40. Classification (NCBI taxonomy): domain Eukaryota; kingdom Metazoa; phylum Chordata; class Mammalia; order Primates; family Hominidae; genus Homo; species Homo sapiens. The sequence continues at coordinate 75,931,507 of NC_000012.12, read as the reverse complement.
AGCACATAAGGTTGTTTTGAGAATTAAGTAAGATGATTGATTAAAAAAGCCTCTGCCACAATGCAAGGCAGATAATAAGATAATAAGTGTTAGCTGAATTTGTATCAGCAACCTCACGTAGTACTGAGGGCTGGGTTGGTCTTTTTCATGTCTACATTCAAGACAAGCTTAGGAGGAATAAGTGGTGAGTTCTGTTATGTGTTTTTACAATGGCTTCCTCCAGAAGTCTCTCTTCGCCTTTGTCTGCCAAGGTACATATTTGAGATAAACCTTTGCAGCTATAGATAGGTCTCTGTTCAATATAAATGCCCCCTGCCTCATGGGTGAGTGGGCATGGAGGTGTAAGGTGGTAGAGATCATATGAATTGCATAGATGTAGCTATAGTACCTTTGTGGCCTTCTGCCTCCCCATCCCACAATCTACTCCTTGAGAGACTGCTTATCCCTAGAGCTTACTTTCAACCATCAACCAGACACTTAAGACACTTGAGACAATTAGTTATCTGAGTATAACTAGACATAAACCTAGCCACCTCCATGAATCAGGGATGTCAAGGGAAAAAAAGATTTGACTGTCTGTCTTTGGGAAGCATCTAACTTTCCTTTACAGAAAGGTACAGGGAAAAACCTGTCTGTCTTCCTCAATTTACATTTCTTGCTAGTTTTCACCCAGTGTTCCCTTCCACTGTATCCCCACTATGACACATATTAGGGAGCTGTTCCTTAGTGTTCAGAAGGTGTCACAAGGCTCTTAGGGCCAGGGGGAGAAGCAGCTTCATCTCGCTAGGCAGCTCCGGGTGTTAGGCTGTCCAGTGTCATACATAAAGGCTTATGAGATTCAGTTTGGAATGATGTCCCAAACTATTAGTGATGTCTTCCATAGGCCCATGAGTGGAAAGTAGAAAGACATGCTAATTCTGTGCCTAGTAAATATAAATATTCACTTAAATTTGATTTAAAAACAAGGAAAGAAAAGTAAGTTTGCCCATATCTATCCCTGGGTTTGTTTTGATGTGTTGAAACTAAAGGACAGGCCGGGTGCGGTGGCTCATGAGCGCCTGTAATCCCAGCACTCTGGGAGGCTGAGGTGGGTGGATCACCTGAGGTCAGGAGTTCAAGACCAGCCTGGCCAACATGGCAAAACCCTATCTCTACTAAAAATACAAAAATTAGCTGGTATGGTGACACACACCTGTACCAACTACTCGAGAGGCCGAGGCAGGAGAATGCTCCAATCCAGGAGGCAGAGGTTGTAGTGAGCCAAGATCGCACCACTGCACTCCAGCCTGGGCAACAGAGTGAGATTCCATCTCAAAAACAAAACAAAACAAACAAACAAACAAAAAAACACCTAAAGGACGGAGCCTATATTTTTAGTGGGCTTTATTATATATTTGCATGTCATTTTGGCAAGTATAAGGAATCTTTATTTTTGAAATCACTAATATGGAGATTACTCCTTGTCCTCTATAGATATTGTTTCTTCCTCCCTTCACCTTTTCCTTCCTTTCCTGTCATTATCCTTCCCTAATGTCTGTGTATTTAAGAGATGTCACTTCTAGCTCAATAAGCCACATTCTAGATAAAGAGTAGGTTCTGTGTCTGAAGATGATTCAAATAGTAAAAGATCTGGAAATTTTGAGCTCCAATTTTCTCATGGTCTTTCTGGTAACACTTGCCCAGAAAGCCAGTCTTGCTCTGCCTAGACCACATATAGTTTTCCTAGTTAAATATGAAGTTCTCTCATCATGGAGACCTCAGGTGGTGACTTGAAATGCCCCCAGGGACCAGGTGGAGTGTAAAGTGCGGGGGGTAGTTATGGGAAGGCAGTAGCCCAGTGGGAGAATAAATGGCACCTGGCCCTCGGCTGGGCATTGTGGTGAGCTGAAGGGTATGCTCATCTCCAGCTGATTGCTGCAGTAAACCTGGGTCCAGGGCTGCAAAAGCAGACACTTAGATCTTTTTGTGGATGTTAAAATATAATGTGGGGCAGATATAACATGTCTATGGACTGAATTTAGCCTTAAAGAGGCTCCAATTTCTGATATCTAGCTAAATTAGGAATTGATCAATGACATTAAGAGCAGGTTGCCTGAAATCTTTACTTATAGAATAGGAGGACCTGAGATAAATATGTGTATGGGGAGAGATGGGAATGGGTAGGCAGTGCAGAGAGGTGATGTCTTAGGGATAAGTCAGTACAGTGTCTTGAGCCCACCTGCACTACATGAAAGCCCCCTGGAAGAAAACATATGCAGGGACAGCAGCAGCAGCAAGATTAATGCTATACACGGGAGGTACAAATGCAGGACAAACATAGCAAGGGAAGAGAGACAAGAAAAGAAGGGCATGAGTAAAAAGGAAAGAGTTTACACATTTTGCAATCAGCACAGCAGAGACCTTTCAGGAAAGTATTAAATAATGTAGAGAGAGTCACTAATTGTCCTTTAACATACACAAGAAAATGACTGACAGTGAACCAGGAAACAGAAATGATGGGATTGAGAAACTGATTACCCAAAATTGACTAAAGAGCATTTACTTGATACTAAGAAGGGATAAATGGCCAGAGTCAGAATTTCAGGGACAGCATGCCTCTAATTTGTTGTTTAGGATGGTTTCTTAGTCTGTATATGTTGCTATTAAGGAATACCTGAGGCTGGGTAATTTAGTAAAAAAAAGAGCTTTATTAGCTGGGCGTGTTGGTGCATGCCTGTAGTCTCAGCTACTTGGGAAGCTGAGGTGGGAGGATCACTTCAGCCCAGGAGGTTGAGGCTGCAGTGAGCTGTGATCATGCCACTGCACTCTAGCTTGGGTGACAGGGTAAGGCCTTGTCTAAAAATATATATATATATATGAGGTTTATTTGGCTCACAGTTCTTCAGACTGAAGAAGAAGGATGATGCCAGCATCTGTTTCTGGTGAGGGCTTTAGGCTGCTTCCATTTGTGGTGGAAGGAGAAGAGGAGCTGGCATGTGCAGAGATTACAGGGAAAGAGAGGAAGCAAGAGATAGGGAAGGTGTTAGGCTCTTTTTAACCAGCACTTGGAGAAACTCTTGAGGGGAAATAATAAAGAAAAAACTCACTCATTAATGTGAGGAAGGCACTAAGAGATTCATGAGGTATCGGCTTCCATGACACAAACAACCTCCCATTAGGTCCCACCTCCAACATTAGGAATCAAATTTCAACATGAGATTTGGAGGATCACATATCCAAACTATAGCAGATGGTATACTTAAATATTTATTGGCTATTAGTAATTTTCTAGAAGATTCCTTAGTATTGAAAGCCCCAGGTTGGTGTACCACCTGGATTGGTTATACCTCAAATCCCCAGATAATGGGGTTATAAGGGTGGAAAGAACCCTAGAGATCATATAGTACAGCACTTCCTTTTTAAAATAAGGATCTTTGACCAGAGGGATGACAACTTAATCAATGTCACAAAGCTTGTAGTCTATCTGGGTCTAGAACATAGTTTCCCACCTTAGATCCAGTCCTGATTTCTGAGCTCAAATCCTAACAAGAGTTACTATCTCTAGTACCCCTACCTATCCACCTAGTGGAGAAAAAAATCAGGCAGAGCATGAAGAGGAGAACTGGAATTACAAACTAGCACTTGAATGAAGATTGCACATATTTATTGTGCCCTTGTTTTCCCCTTTCTTAACTTAGTGACGCCTTCAAATAGGATTCCTTGCTGGAATGATGTCTGATAAATAAAACAAAGTTTTTGCATGTAGGTGGAATCTATCAAAGAGTTCTTTTTACTCTTCATACAAATTCATACTAATTTTTTTGTCTCATTGAATGGGAGCCTGGTATGGTTTAGCTCTATGTCCTTACCCAAATCTCATATCGAATCGTAATCTTCACATGTTGAGGAAGGGGCCTGGTGGGAGGTGATTGAATTGTGGGGGCAAACTTCCCCCTTGCTGTTCTTGTGATAGTGAGTGAGTTCTCATGAGATCTGGTTCTTTGAAAGTGTGTGATACTTCCCCCTTTGCTCTCTGTCTGCCCTGCCACCAGGTGAAGAAGGTCCTTGCTTCCCCTTTGCCTTCCACCATGATTGTAAGTTTCCTGAGGCTTCCCAGTCATGCTTCCTGTTAAGCCTGCAGAACTGTGAGTTAATTAAACCTCTTTTCTTCATAAATTACCTAGTTTCAGATAGTTCTTTATAGCAGTGTGAAAATAGACTAATACAGAGCCAATCTCCTGCTATGTTTTAGGATCTAAGTCATGTATATTCATCATATCAGAACATAATTATTGATTATGGGGTTTTAAAAATTGTGGTTTTAACTTAATGTATAGACTTAGCTTATTTTTATTTTTATTTTATTTTTTTGAGATAGAGTCTCACTCTGTCACCCAGGCTGGAGTACAGTGGTGCCATCTTGGCTTACTTCAACCTCTGCTACCTGGATTCAAGCGATTCTCCTGCCTCAGCCTCCCAGGTAGCTGGAATTACAGGTGCCCGCCACCATGCCTGGCTAATTTTTGTATTTTTAGTAGAGATGGGGTTTCACCATGTTGGCCAGGCTGGTCTCAAACTCTTGACCTCAGGTGCTCCACCTGCCTCAGCCTCCCAAAGTTCTGGGATTACAGGTGTAAACCACTGTGCCTGGCAGATAAGCCATTTATTAACCTCACACCCCTAGCACCAGCTGTCACCCTGGGCTTGTCGGAGGTCCAGGGGTTAGAAAGGGAATGACAGAGTACACAAGCCCCTACCACCCCATTCCCCAGACACACCCTCTCTGCTGGCAGTGCAGATAATGTGTCCTGATACCCTGGAGGAGAACCACCACCCCAAGGAGAACCCTTTCTGCTCCAACCTCCTGGGGAGGTCCCAGGTTGGGGCAGCAGCTGAATGCAGTGGTTTGTCAGGCCTGGTCACACATGTGGACAGAGGATATGGTTGGGGCACCCTAGGGTATGGGGAGGGTCAGCCTGCAGTTGGGGGTCATGAAGACTGTGTTCCAGGACTCCTCCTCCTGCCCCCAATCCTCTGTGCCCTGGATAGAACTCTCCTAGCTTTGCTGATCTGTGCTCATGTCTTTGGGGAGCTGCCTGGTCTCCAGGAAGAGCCAGAGGTTGTTGCATTTCTCTGACTCCACTATTGTTACCCTGTAGCTGGCCACGGAGCCTGAGACCACAGCCACTAGTAGGCTCCACTACAAAAGGTATGGAAACTTCCTCTGAATGAACATCTGCAAGCCAAAGGCCATGCTGGTGCCGGGGGCTTTGTAGCCACTGTGTTGTCCACTTAGGACAGGCCCAGGTTCACCATGGTTGGCCAGGCTCGGGAGACTTAGCTTTTAATTAAAGTATTTTGGTTAGAGTATATAGTAAGCTGAATGGAGAAATATTAAGAATTTATTTTAATTTTCTACATTTGTATTGTGGATAGTGATTTCTAGAACAGAGATTCTTAGCATGTCATTTTATTTCAGCAACTTCCACTTAACTTCTGTGCCTTACCAGGGAAGTGATTCTAAAGGAAAGAGGGTGGTAGGTACTCCAGAGGTGTATCTGAATCTGATTCTTGGTGGATTAGGTGGTGGAAGTCTCATGTAGTTTGAAAATGCATGTTTTGGAGAATTTACAACATCCTGTTGTAGAGGTGTGTTGCCTCCTAGCTCTGAAAGTCCCTATAGTATTTGTTCCCATCTTGGGGTACTGGCTAAATTAGGATTATCAAGGGTCTAAGAGGGGTCTTAGAAAATGGTCCTCAACCTCCTGGTTAAAGAAAGATCTTATGGAGGCTCTCCGAGTTAGAATGATACTGTGTGTGTGTGTGTGTGTGTGTGTGTGTATTACCACACCAAACTGGGTTCATTTACCCATGCACAATGGAAAGCCAAACACCGAAGCACTGGGTTTTTGCAGTGAGAAAAGTTTATTGTAAGTTGACTGTCAAGGAGACAGAAGGAAATGCTCAAAAATGTCTTCCTTAGCTGGGGGCTGGGTCAGATTTTATAAGCATAGGGTAATGAGGTGTGATCTGATTGGATCTTGCAATGAGGTGAGGCCAGAACTCAATCTGATTGGATCCTGGATCCTGCCATGCAGTGTCTACTTAATACAGCCCGTGTTCCTGCTCCTCTGTTGGAGCACTTAGATTTCCCCATAGTGGCATGCTTGGTTCATCTGGGCATGCTCAGGTTACATGACCTTCAACCTGGGGGTCCATGGTGACTGAAAAGCAACTCACAACTTTGTTACATAAAAGTTGAACAAGATTGGTCTGGTGTGGCTACATGTGTTCTGGGAGGAGTGGGTTAGGAAGGGGAAAAGTTGGAAGAAAGAGTACCCCAAAGTAGCTCAGACTCCAGTAGCTGAAGGGATTTTTTCTTCTCCTGATGTGAGCCTCTGTAGTGTACCAGTTGTTCCCCAGACTTTCAGAAGCAGCTTGGGTCATATTTCTTTTCTCTCTGGTTCCTTAAAGATTAAAAGCCAATGTTAGAATGGGAGAAACAGATTAGTCAAACATCCTAAAGATTAAATGTCAATTTTGTATTTTGGCGATCATTGTTATATGTGAGTTTCATCCATTGAAAAATAAACACAACCACATATCCCTTTAGGTTCATCAGTTGTAACAAATGTACCACCCCAATGCAAGATGTTGGGGAGGCTGAGCACATGTGGGAGGCAGGGTCCATGGAAAATCTCTACTTTCCATTTAATTTTGCCATTAACCTAAAACTGCTAAATAATAGTCAACTTTTGAAAAGCACACCTTCTTCTAGTTGCCTTTCAGCACTTAGTGTCTTATAACTTCTTTGGTATTTATGGCAAAAAAATAAATTGAGGCTTCTGTGCTGGAAGTGAAACTGGCGCAATTGTCTCATAGAACTGATGTTTATGGTTTATTTTGGATAAACATAGAAATTGACCTTTCCAGTCTTAAAACTTGAGAAAGTGACGTTTGTCTTATCTGAGTTCCTTTCTCAGGAAACCAACCAGCAAGCTCCCCAGATAGTATTATGGAACTGAAACTCACCAGTTCACTGCCTCTGGACAGTGAGACACCAGATCCCTCCCTGGACATGATTGCCTAACTGACCACCAGCTTCCTGTTGACCAATCCTTTTCTTTACTCCTCCCTAATTCCTATTTTTCCACACAGTTACATTTCTCCCTTGCTGTGCAAACCCCTACTTTTAGTTGGTTGAGGAGATAGATTTGAGACCAACGTCCCATCACCTCAGATGCAGGACTTGAATAAGCTTTCTTCCCTGGCAATACTCCTTGTCTCAGTGATTGGCTTTCTGTGCAGAGAGCAATGGGACCTAGACCAAACCCCTAGTGTTTTGGTAACAGAAGAAATATGCTGACATATTCCTTTTTTCTTTCTTCTCTGCTCTCTCTGCCATCTCCCACTTCTTTATACAGCTGCTGGCTTTTAAACCTGTTGCCCCCTCTCTGATGTTCACTTAGGCTCAAGACAGTGCCTGGTATGTAGCAGATGTCCAATAAGTTTTATTGACTGACTGGAAAAAAGCAGGAATAAATAACCCTGATTTGAAGGTTGTAAGCTTTGGTGTAACATGAACCTCTGTTTCAAATTCAAGGGGCATTTGTTACATCTTAGGGGACTCCAACAATTTGAGGATTTCTAGCCCTATACATTTTTGTTAAGGGATAAAATGAGTCCTAGTTTTAGAATAGGTTGTTATAAATGGAAAATGGTTTTAGAGATCATCTAATCAAGTCCCAGCATTTTTCAGATGAGATTTTGTATGTGTGTGCTCTTGTGGGATTGAGAAAACAGGGATCAAGAGAGGTTTACAGATGTGTTCAAAGTGTGTTCAAAGTCACAAAGCTAGTCATGGGCAAAGCTGGTGTTTTGAAGTCCAGCTCTCCTGACTCTTAGTAGCACATTCATGACGTGACGATTCTCAGAGAAAAACTAAACTAGGAAGATGTTCTGGGAGGTGAGAAATGCCACATTGATGATTTGGATTCTATGGTGACATGAATATAACTTGTATATTTTCCTTATCATCAAGCTGATTTCTACTACTGAGAATGTTCCTGTTTCTGAGGAGGGTTCTGTGGCTTCCAGCTCTGTGACTTCTGAGAAGGGCTCTGTGGCTTTGACCCTGAACAGAAGTTTTTAATGAACTTGTTATATATATAAAGTCACTTAAGTTTTTGATGTCAGGAAATTCTAACTGGGAGCTTATATAAATTTGGATTCCTACTGGGAGATGAAAATTCAGTAAAGTGGGCCCTGCTGATAACCTACAAAACATTAAGTTATATTTCAAAGATCAAAATGGGGTATGAGTAGAAACACTTATCTTAGACTCATCTCAAGTTAAGCACTTTCATCATGATTGGCTTGAAAACATTGCCTGCCTAGAGGTGAAATAGAGTCTGCTCACGTGTATGCCTGCAACAGAAACAGAGAAGGCAATCAGTTGAAATGATGTCTTCAAGAGCATCAAGATGTCATTCATAGAAGGCTTGGAGGCCTTTGGAATTAAATGGAGAGAGGTTGAATTCACTTTAGGTTTAATTGTCTAGAAAATATTTGTAGTCTTTGCCTACCATCCTTGCCAAATTACTGTGATCCTGGCTGCTTACTGGTCTGCCTATCCCAGCCCAAACACATTAGAGTCATTTGGGAAAAGAAATGATTAACTCTCATGTTAGCTATGGGGACCTGTGGATGTTTGGATTGATTCAAAGAAGAGGAAGAAACTAAGCCAATGGGGTGGGTGGCTGATGAAAGTTATTTAAAGAGTAGGAAATTCACAGGTCCTATTTTAGACAAAATCTGATTGTTTGGTCATCTTCATACCTTTCACTGATTACTCCTTATCACTTCTAGAAAGACACTAAAATGACATTTTACACTTTAGTATAAATTACATTAGTTTTACTATTTTTTAATATATTTTTCTTTTTTTCTTTTAATCCCCAATGTGATAGTAAAAGTATATTATCTTTATCTTTTTTGCATTAAAAAAAGCAGCTAGGACTTCAAACATTTTTGGCCCCATGTGCACTTAAAAGAAGAAAAAATTTTCTGAGTTAAACTAAATGGAGACCTGATTAGATTCTAGCTTTAGTACTTTTTCTGCCTTCCTTCCTTTTTTTTCTTTTTGTCTTTTCCTCATCCTCATTCTCTTCCTCCTTCTCCTTTTCCTTCTTCTCTCACTTTCTCTCTCCCTCTCCACCCTCTCTCCCTTCTCTCCTGTCAGGAGAGGAAATGGAAGAATGGTGGAGCTGGGAAATGTGGTTTATGAATGTTTTATCCCTGCAAGGATGTAAGATATATTACAATTTACCAATAATAAAATTCAGATCCTTGAATATAAACCACTTTCCTTATTGACTCTGCTTTTTATCTGCATCATTTTAAAGCTGGGTAAACAAGGCATGGCCAGAGAAATTCGCAGTGCTCCAGCCTGCTTTTCCACTGTAGGAATCTCTTCCCTCTCCTGTGAAAAGGCCACGGAGGAGAGCTCAGGCCTTTCTCCATCGCACTGTGTAAGAGCTTGGCAATTGGACTCCCGGACATCCCTCTCCTGGATGCAAGAACAGAGAGGCAGCCTCAGCCCCGGCCGTTTGTTCAGCCCCCCAACTGTGTGTACAAGGTCTGTCCGAGGTGGTGCATATGCAGGCAGCATGAAGTCCAGCTACTTCTCTCTCCAGCCTCCCCCATCATTGGCCTGCCACAGCGCCTGGGAAGAACTGAGAAAAGACTGTTAGACCTTGTTTATTGAACAACGTGTTATGAGATAACTTTTAGGATGTTTTGGGGCCATTTCCTCAATCTCTGTAAAAGTTTTTATTTGTTATTTTCCTTCTGGTACTTCCATCTGGTACTATTTACTTTTTATCCTCCCACCTGTTATCATTTCTCTCACCCCTAAAACATAACAAGACATTTCTGATAATGTGTGATGTTTATCCTTTTAGTGAGAGGCATTAGATAGTAGATAAATAAGACGGGGAGTTTTAAAGTAGTTTTTCCTCAGTATAATTTAAAGCAGGATTTTTTTTTTTTAAATTTATTTTTAGCTGCTGTCTTGCTCTGTCACCCAGGCTGGAGTTCAATGGCACGATCTCTGGTCACTGCAACCTCTGCCTCCTGGGTTCAAGTGATTCTCCTGCCTCAGCCACCTGAGTAGCTGGGATTACATAAAGCAGGATTTAAAAAACTGTGAACCTCAATTCATTAGTGGGATATAAACTCAATACAGTGAGCTTCAACTTGCAGCAGCATTTTTTTTTTTCTTTTTGAGATGGATTCTCACTCTGTTGCCCTGGATGGAGTGCAGTGGTGCAATCTTGGCTCACTGCAACCTCTGCCTCCTGAGTTCAAGCGATTCTCCTGCCTCAGCCTCCTGAGTAGCTAGGATTACAAGCACCTGCCGCTGTGCCTAGCTAATTTTATTTTTGTATTTTTAGTAGAGACTGGGTTTCACCATGTTGGCCAGGCTGGTCTTGAACTCCTGACCTTGTGATTCGCTTGCCTTGACCTCCCAAAGTGCTGGGATTACAGGCGTGAGCCACCAAGCCTGGCCAGCATTTTTTCTTTTTTTTTTTAAGGAAAAAAATTGTATAGAGCATAGCAAAAGTCAGCACGGTTTCATGAAACTTGCTTCAGTTACACAGCCACGTGGGATTGTAGACTTGAGTGTGATGTGAAATGCATTTCTTTCTTGTCTTTGAAACAGAGTCTCGCTTCGTCACCCAGGCTGGAGTGCAGTGGCGCCAACATGGCTCACTGCAGCCTCAACCTCCCCAGCTCAAGCAGTCCTCCCACATCAGCCTCCTGAGTAGCTGGGACTACAGGAATGCACCAACATGCCCGGCTAGTAAAATGCATTTCTTACAGAGGGTCCAAAGAATCTGAAGCCATTGTTTTAAGGCATTCATGCTTTCTGGGCTGAATTTGAAGTAGCATATACTCTCTTTGTAAGATCTTAAATCACTCAGTTTACCACTGAGCTTACATTTCCAGAGAAACCACTTCACCTGACTGGTAGGGAATCCATAGGGCCTATTTTGGGTAGGCTGGAAGTAAAAACTTACTAGATAAAAGAGCTGAAATAAGAAATTTAAATAACTATTTGTACCAACTGTACCATCTGCTTGCCACTGCTCCAAACTTTTACCCACTTGCTTTTGGTAAAGAGGTCACCTGCGTATTTAAAATATCCTTTTGTAATGTATTGGGAAGGTGCGAGAACATATGAAAATGGTTGTCAATGGAGATGGAAGGGGCTTTATTCTCACTTAAGAGAGCCCTGGGAGGAATAAGGTTTTATCTGGATCAGGTATCCAATTGCATTGGATAAACGTGGCCTGAGGCAGGATAAAATTTAAAAACACAATAATAAGCCTCCTGGTGACATCTCTGTTCCTTTTATAGTCCCTCAGCTGGCTTGTTTGCAGGGTGCAGGATGGGTGACCACCTGACGTGCTTATGTGGTCAGTAAGTTATCTGAATAGGGTCTCTCTAGACCCCCTAGAATTTGTGGAGCTGGGTTGTATCATAGGAAATGCAAGCTGTGCTGGTGTTCACAGCTAGAGAGGAGAATGGTTGGATGTGCACCTGGCTCTGCAGGAAGCCCATCTCAGGTTATTGCTGAGGATAAGAAGCTGGCACTGGAATGGTTGGAAAGGCTGTAAGAGCTCCACATGCCACCTGGCCCTTTTTGGGTATGTGGTGCCCAGACCTGAGCTGCTATTTAGTCTGACAAAGATAGAGGGATTTTTTTTCTTCCCCCTGTGGGCAACCTGCCCTGTATTGTACAGAGGAAGGCACAAAGAGATCAGTGATTTATAGACCCTCTGTAGGGAAAAAAGAAAAAAAAGCAAAACAAAAAAAGTCCAATAAACTTAAGCTATACTTTTCCATCAGCAGCTGGTTTTGCCTTTCTTGGAAATAGCGTTTCTTGTATTGAATCCAGCTTTAGAAATTCCTCCTGTAGTCTGAAGACCTGTCATCAGACAGGTCAATGGGTAAAGCTCATTGAAGCTGTTTTTATCTTTATTCTGTCCAAGATCTTGCCTGCTTATCCTCTCAGACAATATAATGGTTCCCCAGACTCAGGAGTTGGTAATGGCTTATGAAAATATATTGATGTCCTATTTGGAAACTGACCTTTTACTTTTATCCTTGTTATCCTTTTTCTTCTTCCAGTCTGTTATTTGAGATGGCTGGGACAAAGAAATGCAAGAGGGGGGACCACAGCTTGCTGGGATCTCTCCCACCTCCAATAGGCCACAGGCCATGTCTGTACACTTAGTCAAGGCCCTTTGAATATGTTTTCTGCCAGTTTGACTCCTTTTTCATGTGCAGACTTAAAAAGAAAAGTAAACTGACATCTCATTATGGGAGGACTTCACCTTAAGTATGGACATCAGAGGGAGGCTTTGACAGAAGTATGCCTCCTGACTTCTTTTCCCCAGGATCCCAGTCTTTACCATAAGATCTTTGAATTGTTGCGATGGTGGTAGTTAGAAAGTGAATAAAGAGGAGGCACATTACACACAATGGATGAACCCCTATAACTTTTCATTCAGTGGAAGAGGCTGGTGTAGGGGAGCGAAACAAGGCTTCCCCCTACCTGTCTAGGTTCCGTGTCTGGGCTAGAAATTAGACATAAGACAGATGAACAGGAGAAAAACATATTTATATATGCATGGGAGTCCCAAAAACTATGAGACTCCCACAAAATATGGAACTCCATGAAGAGTGAGATGGTTGAAGCTTATCTAGCATCCTGAGCTACAGAAAAAATAGGGACCCAAGATCTCTGGTCGGGGAGCCAGCAACAAGCCTCGGGGAGGGTAAGGGGAGGAAATGCATGGTGAACAAAGACCGTCCTGCTATGCAGATAGAAAATCTTCAGGTAAAAAAAATTATCTCAAAGCAGCCTTCTTGCTTGTACCAATAATTTACTACTATAGATTTTCTTTATAAAAAAATTTCTTTTATAGACGTAAATTTATTTTACAAAAGGACAGTTTTTCAGAGCTATTTCTATGTTAGCAGTTTCTCAGAATAACCAGCTCAAAATGAGCGAAAGAGGTATATTTTGGGATGGCATATTCTGGTCTCCTACAGTCGTATTTTGGGGTGGAATATCCTGAGCCCCAACAATGAACACTCATGAGGGAGAAGGGGATGGGTAAGTTATGCCTTGATTGTTAAGTTGCTGGAATATCTAGGCCTCTTGATTTCTTGTCCTCCTGCTGTTTGGTCATTAACCCAGCTGCCCAGGAATTCAGTGGTGAAAAGATAGGGGGGTAAAATTAAAACAAGTAAGCATTTCTATTAGAGAGTAGACAAATCTGATTTTATTTAAAAAAAAAAAAAAGAAAGAGTTTAGCTCAATTTTATTTTTCACATGGTGAAAAGAGGGTGTCCTCTTAGTCTTTTCTCTACTTTTCAGTGACTGCATTTTAATAATATGATTTCTCAGGATATCTGACTAGTGAAGCATTTCCTGACCCCAGTTACTGAGGCTAATTGAGAGTTAATTATATGTCTGCTCATTATTTTGCTTACTTCCTAGTCTGAAAACAACAGCAATTGCTCACACTCTAGAACTGGGCCAGGAAGTAGCATCACAGGGTATGATGTGAGATGTTAGAACAGCTCCCTCCTCACTATCTTTACCACCGCCTAATCAGACTACCTGGAATTATACCATTAGAGAGATATTACGTAGGCTAAACATGGCTTTGTTTTTCTCAGGAAGAGGCAATCTTATAAATTTTTTTTTAAGTTTTTCACTTTTTCTTTTTTAAGTTGGTGTGCATTGCAAGTTATAAATCTAGTATTTCTTCCTAACAAAATTTTATTAATTTATAATGCATTTTTGGTTGATGATATATTAAGCTATTATTAGTTAATCATATCAGAGTATAAAGTATTTCAGGATTTTGCTACTGAAAAGCTACCTGAGACAAAGCAATTGTAGAATTTAGAATGCTAGAAGAACGAGGGATGGAAATAGCATAATATAGAGTATGTGCAGGCTCAGGGATCTAGCTGTCAGGTAGGAACAATTTTTTCTCTACCCTCTTATATTCAGTATATGGGGACCTTCAAATTAAACTAACAAAAGACAGATCAACAAAAGAAAGGGCACATGATTTTATTAACATTTACATGCTTGGCTGTTCACAGAGCAGAAGTGAAACTCAAAGAAGTGATTAAACTTGAGTGGTTATAGACCCTTTCCTTTTAACAAAGGAAAAAAGGTTTGGACTTCAAAGTATGATAAATTGTGGGGAAGTGAGTAGGAAGTGTGTGGTAGGAACTAATGGAAGATAAAGGCTATTTTAGTAAGGCCTATTTATGCAAACTCTTCATCTTTGATAAGACTTTTAGGTAGATAAGTGGAAGACACTAGATCTCTTCCTGTATCTTTTGATTCTCAATTGCTTTCAGCTCAAAATAATCCTTATGTCAAAGTAGCATATTTTGAGTAGCATATTCTGATCTTCAGAGGCAAGTGAAGGGAGTGTTACACGCAGTTAGATGGCTTTAAAGACCCCAAGGCTAAATTATATAGTTCCATGACATTTACCTAATATTGAACCTATTCCTTAAAACGTGAATGTTGGGTGACCCCTGTCTTAATGAATAGACATATGACTTTATTCAACCAATTTGAGGACATAATTTGTATCCAGACTTAATGGAAACCCTGTCTCTATTAAAAATACAAAAATTAGTTGGGCATGGTGGTGCATGCCTGTAATCCCAGGTACTCAGGAGGCTGAGGCAGGAGAATTGCTTGAACCCGGAAGGTGGAGGTTGCAGTGAGCCAAGATCGCACCACCGTACTCCAGCCTGCGTGACAGAATGAAGACTCCATCTTGGAAAAAAAAATAAATTTGGCTTGGTGCGGTGGCTCATGCCTGTAATCCCAGCACTTTGGGAGGCCGAGGCAGGTGGATCACGAGGTCAGGAGATCGAGACCATCCTGGCTAACACGGTGAAACCCCGTCTCTACTAAAAAATAGAAAAAATTAGCCGGGCGTGGTGGCGGGCGCCTGTAGTCCCAGCTACTCAGGAGGCTGAGGCAGGAGAATGGTGTGAACCTGAGAGGCAGAGTTTGCAGTGAGCCGTGATCGCGCCACTGCACTCCAGCCTGGGCGACAGAGCAAGACTCTGTCTCAAAAACAAACAAACAAATAAATAAATAAATAAATTTTACTATATACTTTGTGATATACTGGCAACCTCTTTAATATCTAGAGATGAAATATTATAAAATCAGGACTCATTTGTCCATTATATATACACTATATATGCAACAAAACAAAATGCACAAAACACACAGAAAAAATGGTGCCTGAAACTACTGAACATACTAGCACATTACTCTTTGCAGTTCCTTCCTTCCCACCTCTTCTAAACCTTTGAACAGGTGTAGTACCATATTGCTCACAGAGGTGGTTTAACAATTCCATTTCCAAAAGACAATCTTTCCTATGAATTTTAGCAAAAAGGTATCTACAAAGTGATATTTTACTACCTCTACATTTAATAGATGTTGGGCACTTCTAAACATCTAGGTAGACTAGATGTTTTAGATAAGGAGTTAATTTGTCCTCTATATACACAGCAGTCTTCAATAAACTGCACACATATAACAATAGTTATAATTTGAAAGAGCCTTCGAATATGAACATTCTGGCCTAGAACCTTCCTATCTCCTTCAACCCAGTGGGTTATAATGCTCGGATTTTCAGAAGAGAATCTTTCCCAGGAATTTTAAAACAAAATATACAAAATATATTAGTTTACTAATTGTAATTTTGTCACACACTGACAACCTCTTTAACATCTGGAAAGACTGGGTGTTGTAAATTAGGACTCATTTGTCCTTTGTATACATTATATACACAGATAAATAAAACAAACGCACAGACATAAGGGATGATGGTTAATCTTGCCTCACTAAAAAGCACAATGGCACAGAGCTCTTCACTCTTTCTTCTCCTCCCTCCTCCCTTGAACCAGTGCCCAAACACAATGTATATTACTTAAGAGGTGGTTTGGTCATTCCCTGCCCTGCCCCCACCCCCACTCCCCCAACCCTGCCACCCCAAACCGACATATCATATGAATTTTAACAAAAGGATATTTACGGAATGTTAAATATACTTTATTGGTCAGTGTAATCCATATGTTACTTTGTTTTCATATACACCCTGGGGCAATTAGTTAGCATTTGAAATACAATGTGGGTGGTTTGCACTTGAAAACATTTTTTATTACAAAAATATTGCTAATTTTGAATGTGTGATAATGATTTTAAGATGTGGTTATATTATATTTTAGAGCTTCATACTAATGCATCTGTGGATGATATGATGTGATGTTTGGATTTGCTTCAAAATAAGTCATTGTTTGGGTTGGGTATGAGGGGAGAGGAAGACTAGCTGGATAGAGATGAACAAGATTGGTCTGGGATTGATAATTGTCAAAGGTGGGTGATGGGTTAAGGGCGGTTATTACTGTAGTCTCTAGTTTAGAATATATTTGAGATTTCCATAATTAAACCTATTTTTAAATCATAAAACAATAAAAATAAGTGTATGAAAGAACCTACTTACTGCAAGCACTTTGTTTCTGATTAGCCCTGAAGGATATGGTAATTGGGGTAAAGGATATCAGAAATTATTTTCCTTTTGCTGAAACAACAGCTGTTCATAAAATGTGAATTGGTAGAATATTGTACAGGCATCTCCAATATCACAGGAATAGGATTTAAGAATCTGGCAAAGGTAGTAGACTCCCTTTTGAACTGGTGTTCTAGACCTAGGGTATACTGGGTCTCTTGTCAGGTGCTTAATAGAGGATTTTATCTTGATTCTAACCAGAGGGGAGCTGTACCTGCCTGCTACCAGAATACTGTCTATATTAAGCTGTTTTTGCATTGCTATAAAGAAATACCTGAGATGGGGTAATTTATAAAGAAAAGAGGTTTAATTGCTCACAGTTCTGCAGGCCGTTCAGAAATCATGGCAGCATCTGCTTTTGGAGAGGCCTCAGGTAGCTTTTACTTGTGGTGAAAGGCAAAGTGTGAGCCAGCATCTTATATGGAAAGAATAGGAGAAGATGGGGGGGGTGGGTGGGGATAGTGCTACACATTTTCTAAACAACCAGATCTCATGAGAACTCACTCTGTATAAAGAACCAAGGGGGGATGATTCTCATTCATGAGAACTTTGCCCCATGATCCAACCACCTCCCACCAGGCCCCACCTCCAGCACTGGGAATTACATTTCAATATGATATTTGGGTGGGGCACCCATCCAAACCATATCACTGTCCCATATGCTGCTAGTGAAATTTGCAGGCAACAGTCTTTTCAGAGGCCACAATCGTCAGTGCACTGAGAAGTGCACTGAAGTGTATTGAGTTGAAGAACAAACTCCATGACTCTTGCACCTGCTTGAAAATGAATGTTTGTGTGCTTGCCAGATTTGCTCATATGGCCTATCAGAGAGGTTAATGGAAAGGAGAACGCTAGGCCTCACTACAGACACAGGGAGTTTTAAATAGCCCTTAACTACAGACACAGGGAGTTTTAAATAGCTACTTTGGCTTGGGCTGGGCTCAGAGCGGACACTGGGTGCATCCTCCCACTTCTGTGTTAGGCACAGCATGTCTGCCACAAAGTGAGGGCTCGGGAATACCTGGACAACAGCAGCCCCTCAGGAGTGGTGTCTGTGTAAGCCCAGGGGCAGCACCCTGCTGCAGCCTTCCGCAGTCACCTCTGCTTAGGCCTCCCACAAGTGGGAGGGAGTGGAAGGAAAAAGGAGTGGGCACATTGACAGCATTTTTGATAACACCTGATACTGCCTAGTGACTCACAGAACAATCTGAAGGAAATAGCAATTCTGGAAAGGGGTCCTGAAGTGTGTGGGTAGAAACAAGAGTGAATGAATTGGTGCAATTACTCTTGATCTGACTCCCATGTGTACCCTTAGCTTTATAAGGCTTTGGCAAACTTGTGTTACACAGATTAATATGAGTTTCTTTTCTTTTTTTTTTTTGAGACGGAGTCTCATTTTGTCGCCCAGGCTGGAGTTCAGTGGTGCAATCTTGGTTCACTGCAACCTCTGACTCCTGGGTTCAAGTGATTCTCCTGCCTCCGCCTCCCGAGGAGCTGAGACTACAAGCATGTGCCACCAGGCCTGGCTAATTTTTGCATTTTTAGTAAAGATGGGGTTTCACCATATTGGCCAGGCTGGTCTCGAACTCCTAAGCTCAAATGATCTACCTGCCTTGGCTTCCCAAAGTGCTGGGATTACAGGCATGAGCTACCATGCCTGGCCGAGATGAGTTTCTTATTCATCTGTACATTGTCACTAATTTAAAAAATGTGCGTATGTATTTTATGTAAAGTCATGTATGGCTGAATGATGGGGATACATTCTGAGAAATGCGTCCTTAGGCGATTTTGTGATTGCCAAACATCATAGAGTACACTTTCACAAACCTACAAGGTATAATCTACTACACACTTAGGCTTTATGGTATAGCCTATCACTCCTAGGCTACCAAGCTGTACAGCCTGTGACTATGCTGAATACTGTAGGCAGTTGTAACACAATGGTATTCGTGCATTTAAACATATCAAAACATAAAAAGCATACCTAAAAAGTAAAAATACAGTACAAAAGATAAAAAATGCTATACCTTAGCTGGGCATGGTGGCTCATGCCTGTAATCCCAGCATTTGGGGAGACTGAGGCAGGTGGATCACGAGGTCAGGAGTTCAAGACCAGCCTGGGCAAGATGGTGAAACCCCGTCTCTACTAAAACTACAAAAATTAGCCAGGCGAGGTGACGGGTACCTGTAATCCCAGCTACTCGGGGGGCTGAGGCAGAGAATTGCTTGAAACCGGGAGGCAGAGGTTGCAGTGAGCCGAGATCACGTCATTGCACTCCAGCCTGGGTGACAGAAAGAGACTCCATCTCAAAAAAAAAAAAAAAAAAAAAAAAAAAAGCTACACCTGTATAGGACATGTACTATGAATAAAGCTTGCAGGACTGGAAGTTTCTCTAGGTGAGTTAGTGAGTGGTGAGTGAATGAGTGAATGTGAAAGCCTAGGACATTACTGTACACTACTGTAGATTTTGTAAACACTGTACGCTTAGGCTACACTAAATTTATACAAATATTTTCTTTCTTTAATAATAATTAACCTTAGCTTACTGTAACTTTTTTACTTCATAAACTTAAAAAATTTTTAAAAACCTTTTAACTCTTGAAATAACACTTAAAACACAAACACCTTGTACAGCTGTACAAAGATATTTTCTTTCCTTATATTCTTATTCTATAAGCTTTTTAAAATTTATTTTTACTTTTTAAACTTTTATGTTAAAAAAGAAGACACAAACACACATTAGCCTAGGCCCACACAGGGTCAGGATCATCAGTATCATTGTCTTCCAACCTCCACATCTTGTCCCACTGGGAGGTCTTCATGGGCAATAACACACATGGAGCTGTTATGTCCTATGATAACAATGCCTGCTTCTGAAATATAATACCTCCTAAAGGACCTGCCTTAGGATGTTTTACAGTTAAC
Organism: Homo sapiens; assembly: GCF_000001405.40. Classification (NCBI taxonomy): domain Eukaryota; kingdom Metazoa; phylum Chordata; class Mammalia; order Primates; family Hominidae; genus Homo; species Homo sapiens. Next base: position 75,911,905 of record NC_000012.12, on the reverse strand, counting down.
TTTTTCTTTAAATAAGTAGGAGTATACTCTAAAGTAACCATTAACATATAGTCATTTATTATCTTTATCAGTATTATGTACTGTACATAATTGTATGTGGTATACTTTTTTTTTTTGAGATGGAGTCTTGCTCTGTCATCCAGGCTAGAGTGCAGCGGTGTGATCTTGGCTCACTGTGACCTCTGCCTTCTGGGTTCAAGTGATTCTCTTGCCTTAGCCTCCCGAGTAGCTGGGATTAAGGCACCTGCCACCACGTCTGGCTAATTTTTGCATTTTTAGTAGAGACAGGGTTTCACCATGTTGGCCAGGCTGGTCTCAAACTCCTGACCTCAAGTGATCTGCCTGCCCCAACCTCCCAAAATGCTGAGATTGAAGGTGTGAGCCACCATGCCCAGCTATATGTGGTATAGTTTTATACAACTGGCAGTGCAATAGGTTTGTTTATAGCAGCATCATCACAAACACATGAATAATAAGTTGTGCTGTGATATCACTAGGCAATAGAAAATTTTCAACTCCATTATAATCTTTATTTTTATTTTTAAAATTTTTAATTTGAGACAGGCTCTCAATCTCTTGCCCAGGCTGGAGTGCAGTACACAATCATAGCTCATTTTAACTTTGAATTCCTGGGCTCAAGCGATCCTGCCTTAGCCTCCTGAGTAGATAGGACTACAGGCATGTGCCACCACACCTGGATAATTTTTTAATTTTTTGTAGAAACAGGGTCTTGCTATGTTGCCCAGGCTGGTCTGGAATTCCTGGCCTCAAGGAATCCTCTTGCCTCAGCCTCCCAAAGTGTTGGGATTACAAGAATGACCCACTGTGCATGGCCCATTAAATCTTACGGGACCACTGCCATATATGTAGTCTGTCACTGACCAAAACATTGTTATGCAGCACATGACTCTGTGTGTGTGTGTGTGTGTGTGTGTGTGTGTGTGTGTGTATTTAAATTAATATATCTTGAGTACCTGTTAATGTGTTGGGCTCTGCTTTTGTTAACATGATCTCACCTGATCTTTAAAACAACCCTACCAGATAGGTGTTAACTTTTATTATTATTATCATAAAACTTTGGCTCAAATAATTGGAATGATTTTTATTTATTTAACAGATATTTATTGAGCATCTACTAGGTGCTAGGAATCATTTTAAGCGCCAAGGATTCAGAGATACATAAAGCAGGTATTGTCTCTGTGCTCAGGAAGCTGACTGTGATAAATAAGCAAACCCATAGTGAGATAATTTCAAGTATTATTTTGAGTGCTGTGAGGCAAATAAATAGGTTCATGCATCTGAGAGTAGCAGATGGTTGTGGGGGTCACCACTATATAGGTGAAGGGAACAGCAGTTACAAAGTGCTGAGGCTTTGCTTGAGGCTTTCTGACTTTTCAAGGTCACCCAACTTGTGAATGACAGCTCTGGGTTTTAATCAATTTCTGTGGAACAGCAGGCAGCAGGGGCATGGAAAGTTTAGCTTATTCAAGGTGAAGACTTGAGAGTTATGGGAGCATGTTAAAATGATATTTGCAGGGCTGGAACGGCTCCAGAACACCTGGGCTGTGAGGTCCCCCATCACCACGCAGAGCACCAGGGACTTCAGAGGAAATATTTGTTTTAATCATTTCTGGAAATGGGATTGCTGTTTGATATTTTCTCATTCTGTTTGCCTGACAACCACACAAGAAATCAGACTTTTTAAAGGCCTCTCTTGCCTAATCAACTAGATGCTTTGGAAAAAAATTTGCCAAATGATAGAAATATTTCTCTTTCAGCTTAACTGCTGACCCAGACTAGTGAAAGAAATGGCCTTTCAAAGAATAAATCTATGAAATTCCATTTCTGGGGCAAGTGCCTTGATTTGCATTGAGCATTGTTGTAAATGTCAACTGTCCGGCTCCCACTGTCAGCTTGAATGGCCATCAGTGTTTACCCTCCCAAGATAATTGCACTAACTTATTCAGCACATGGTTGGAGGCTGAGGCCATACTGTTTCTTGTTAATCTCAATCACGTCCCTCTTTCCTCCTTCCTTTTTCTCCTATGAGGCACTCCTAGATTTTTCAAGTTTATGATGAAATACTAAATTCTTCGCTTAGCAGGGCTGTTAGATTTCCTGAGTTGCCTTGCCGAGCCAGTATTCCCATGGCTGTTCCTGAGAGCAGGTGGGAGAATGTGAACCCGTTGAAGAGACTGAACAAAGGGACAAGCAGTGGCAATTTCCTTCCCTCACCACTGGAAGTTGATGTGAAGAGCCAAGGGCACAAAATTTTTCCAAATCAAAAATACCAGAATATACATGCTGTCTTGTTTATCAGTATCCCAAGGACCCAGAACATAGTAGATGTTGAGTAAATATTTAGTGAATGACAATCACAGCAAGTTGTCTCTGCTAGCTTAACCATCCTCCCATGGCCTCCTCAGTCCCTTCCTCATTGGACACTGCTGGATTTTTGCCAATTGTGTTCTCTTGAGGAAGGGGTTGAGGGGACAAAGGGAGGAAAGGCTGGACATATTGCCTAGGCTTGATTGGCTGCAGCCATTGTGACTCTTTTCCAGCTGCAGAGCATTTTGCATGTGAGGAATGATACGGAAACATGCCTCCAGCAGCCAGCTGGCTCCTCACCAGTTCTTTGTAAATACCAGCCAGAGGCAGCTCTGGTCTTCTGCCAGGATAGAGACAGTGAAAGCAAACTTCACAGGTTCCTCGCCCTCACATGGGGCTCATCAAGACCCTACAGCTGTTGTTTCAGCTCCAGATGAATTCTTTGTATTTTTACTTTAGAGAATCTACTAAGGAAATGTCATTCCCTCACTTCCCTCTGCCTATATATGTTTGCTTTGGCAGAGAATCACTCTGTGTTCCTCTCTTCTCCACTCTCATCTCTTTGATCCAAATGTTCTCTCCTGCTGGTTTCTTCTTGTCCCTGGAGGTACAAAACACATGTTTGGTTTGGTAGAAACATTAGGAGAATATCTGACTGTCTTCAATTGCTTAAGGGGGGGTCTTGATTAATATAGCTGTGTGTTTCAAAATCTGTTTTACCTGTTCTTCTATCAGCAGCATTATCATTAGCCAGTCTGGGAAAGACGCTTTATATAAATGAAAGATTTGGCCCAATTTCTAAGGAGTAATTTTACCGTGTTTTGTAGCTTTTGAGACTCATACATTTTCATACTTTAACACCTCAAAATTTGGGAGGCAAATTCTTTCTTATCATAGATATAGGCCATGCATTGATCAGTAGTACTGTTTTTTCTTTTTTGGTAGCTAAAATAATGGTGTGTCTTATAATAGATGGAATCTTAGATTTGATGAAATGCAGTAGTTTATTTTGGCCAAAAATATCTCAATTTATTTATTTATTTTTCTTTTGGTTCTTGATTTGGAGATTTATTTTTCTAGTTATTTTTTTTTCTATTTGGTGTTAATCATTCAGACTAATCTATGAACTACCTATTTCTATAATCAGCCCATTTTAAAATGTGTCCATCATGATAATTTTAAATATATATAGATAGATTTATATAAAGGAAGAAAGGATCCAGGAGTGAGAAAGCCGAGGTTCTAGTTCTGCTTTTGCTTTAACCTTGGATAAGTAATTACCTTTTGAGCTCTTCTTTCTTGGCTATAAAATAATGGGTAAGAATGCAATGATTGCGAAGACTTTGATTTCATTGTGGCTCCTCCTCCCTGTTGGTTGTTATTCAGAGTCAAAGGCATGAGATGGGTAGCAAATTTGGTTAATGTCTCCTCAGAGTAAGTTTATGTCATAGTGACTTGCGAGAACCTGTCATGCCAGACCCAATTAATTTTCTCTGTGAGATAATGATCCCATTGCATGAACAAATGAGAAGAGCTAATAGTTGAGTGCCAACAGAGTGCCAGGCACTGTGCTATCTGCTTGCTATGGGTTGAATTGTGTACACCCCCAAAATGTTGAAGTCCTGATTCCCAGGGGCTGTGGCTTTATTTGGAAATAGGATTGTCTTAGTCTGTTTGTATTGCTATAACAGAATACCTAAGACTGAGTGGTTTATAAAGAAAATAGATTTCTTTAGCTCACAGTTCTATAGGCTGGGAAGTTCAAGGGGCAAAGCACTGGCATCTGCTCTGCTACTGGTTAGGGGTTTTGTGCTGCTTCCACTCATGGTGGAAAGCAGAAGGGTAGGCGCATGCAAAGAGGTTACATGGCAAGAAAGGGAGCAAGAGAGAAAAACTGGGGAAACCAAACTCTTTTTAACAAGCTACTCCTGTGGGAATGAATTCATTCTACAGAGAACTAATCCAGTCTCAAGAGTGTGAGAACTTACTGACTACCTCAAGAATGGCACCACGCCATTCATTCATGAGGGATCTGACCCTCCTTACCCAAACACCTGCCGCTAAGTCCCACCTCCCAACACCACCATATTGGGGATCAAATTTCTACATGGGGACAAGCAATATCCAAACCATAGCAGGTCTTTATGGATGATCAAGTTAAAATGATGTCATTAGGACTGGCTTTAATCCAATATAATTGTCTTCTTAAAAAAAGAGGAAATTTGGACATAGAGACAGACAAACACACAGGGATAGTGCCAAGTAAAGATGAAGGCAGAGATTGGGGTGATGTGTCTGCAAATCCAGAGCACAAAAGATTGCCGGCAAACCACCAGAAGCTAGAAGAGATGTGTGGAAGATTCTCCCTCACAGCCCTCAGAAGGAATCAGTCTTGTTGACACCTTGGACTTCTGGCCTCTAGAACTGTGAGACAATCCATTTCTGCTGTTTAAGCCACCCAGTTAGTGGTGCTTTATTATGGCAACCCTAAGAAACTAATACACTGCTGTAGACAGACTGAATCATTCCATCCTCAGAATGAAACTATCCATTTATTCCCCAATGTGCTAGCACTAAGGCAGGAAGCAAATGGAAAATGTTTGCTCTCGTGGGGCTTATGTTCTAGTGAGAGAAGCCAGATAAAAAACAAACAAGTAAATATGTCATATGTCAGATGATTAGACATGCAATGGAGAAAAAAATAAGGCATGATAAGGGAGACAGAGAGTGTGTGGTATGGAGGTGGTGGTTACTGATTTATATAGGGGAGTCTGCAAAATACTGTGTAGAAAGAATATTGCAACTTCACAGCAACCAACATGAAGGCATGCTCTTGACATATTCACCAAACAAGTTTCTTTTTATTATTTTTAAAATATTATTTTTTAGAGGTGGGGTACAGTAGCATGATCATAACTCGCTACAACCTTGAACTCCTGGGCTCAAGCAATCCTCCCACCTCAGCCTCTTGAGTAGCTGGGACCACAGGAGCATGCAACCATGCCAGGCAAATTTCTTTATAAATCTGTTTTGTTTTTGTTTTTGTTTTTTTGAGACAGGGTCTCACTCTGTTGTTTAGGCTGGAGTGTAGTGGTGCAATTATGGCTCACTGTAGCCTCCACCTCCAAGGCTCAAGTGATCCTCCCAACCCAACATCCTGAGTATGACTACAGGCATGCACCACTATTCCTGGCTAATTTTTTATTTTTTATTGAGATGGGATCTCACTATGTTGCCCAGGGTGGCCTCAAACTCCTGGGCTCAAGCAATCCTTCTGCCTCAGCCTCCCAAAGTGTTGGGATTACAAGTGTGAGCCACTGTGTCTGGCCTATAAATCTGTTTTATGTGTGAAAAGCTTAGACATGTGGAAGTAGTTGCCTAGGGTTATATAGACAGCAAATGGAGGAGTTGGCATTTAACCCAGATATGTAACTGCAAGTGCATACACTCTTAATCATGACAAAGGCTTTTTGCTCACCCTGTCTTTATTGATTTCAGTATAATTTATGTTCTGTTTAGCCAGAGTCTAGTTGTAGAGTTTCTGTGATTAGGCAAGTAGAACATTTCCCTGATGATTCTCCCAGAAGCGTAGTTTCCAATGACCTGGTATCAATGTGAGGGGCAAATGTCAAGTGGTCTTATCGCCCTTGGAATCATTGACGTCTTGACTAAAGGTGTTGAAGGTGTGCTTATTTAGCCTATAGGTGATGTAACATCAAACAGACCAGTGTGATATTATTAAATAGGAAGCACAACCCTAGGCAAACAGGATGAAATCCAATTATATAAGGGTGAGAGTAAGGACTTATATAAACCATAAAAATAATTATAGAATTGGCTAGCCACCATCACTGCTTTAAAAGACCTGTGGGTCAGGGCTGATCTATGATCAACGATCATGATCATTGCTGATCATGAATCAGCAATATCATGTCATTGTGGGGGAATAAAGCTAAGACCATCCAGGGCAGATGTAATTCTTCCTCTATGCTCTGAGTACATCAGCCATGACTGTGCTACAAATAATATTGCTCCCTGAACTTAAAAAGAAAAAGTCTCAAATATTAGTATTTTAGTTTAGCCAATAAAATTGGCAAAGTTAAAAAATAATCCGGCCGGGCGCGGTGGCTCACGCCTGTAATCCCAGCACTTTGGGAGGCCGAGACGGGCGGATCACGAGGTCAGGAGATAGAGACCATCCTGGCTAACACGGTGAAACCCCGTCTCTACTAAAAATACAAAAATTAGCCGGGCATGGTGGCGCGTGCCTGTAGTCCCAGCTACACGGGAGGCTGAGGCAGGAGAATGGCGTGAACCCGGGAGGCGGAGCTTGCAGTGAGTCGAGATCGCGCCACTGCACTCCAGCCTGGGCGACAGAGCGAAACTCCGTCTCAAAAAAAAAAAAAAAAAAAAAAAAAAATAATCCTCTGTGTTAGTGCTAGTTTGAAGCAAGTATATTTTCATATACTTCTGATGGAACTCCTAATGATACCACCTTTCTACAAGGCAATTTGACAACATGTATTAAAAACCTTTAGCTGTGAATATTCTTGGAGCAATTCCAATTTCAGTATTTTTTTTTCTCAAAAGAAATCACTGGAGACAGATGCAAAATTTAGCTACAAAGTGTTTATTGCAATATAATTTATATAGCAAGATCGGGTAATATGGTAAAACGTTGGCTAGGCACGGTGGCTCAGGCTTGTAATACCAGCCCTTTGGGAGGCCAAGGTGGATGGATCATGAGGTCAGGATATCGAGACCATCCTGGCCAACACTGTGAAGCCCTGTCTCTACTAAAAATACAAAAATTAGCTGGGCATGGTGGCCCGTGCCTGTAGTCCTAGCTACTCGGGAGGCTGAGGGAGGAGAATCGCTTGAACCTGGGAGGCGGAGGTTGCAGTGAGCTGAGATCGCACCACTGCACTCCAGCCTGGGACAGAGTGAGACTCTGTCTCAAAAAAAAAAAAAAAGAAAAAAAAGAAAAAAGAAAAGGTAGAATGTTATATGGCTATTAAAATCATGATGCTAAATAAGAATTTTTAACTGTTTTCAGTTCATACACCCTTTTGGGCATCTGGTGAAAGCAGTCAACTGCCTTCTTGGGAAGAAAGCACATACGTACCTACATAAAATTTTGTCTGTAATTTTGTGTATAATTTCATGGACTATGTAAAGTCTATACACAGACTCAGGTTGAAGATGCCTACCCTGTAGGGGTAATAATTAGTGACAGGGAAAATAGTCTCCAAAGCACATATGTGCATTGGCTTATGAGACTGGAAGATATACGTCAAAATAGTTATTAGCTCTGAGAAGCAGGATTATGGGTTTTGAAAAATTTCTCCTTTGGGATTTTTCATATTTCTCAATTTTCCACCATAAACATGTATTATTTCAATATGATTTAAAAAATATTTTAATATGGAGCAAAGGAAAAAAAACCCCAAAATTAAACACAAGAAGCTTAGAGAAATCCCCAAGAAATATAACAAAAATGATACATAATGAAAAGTGCAAAGAAACAATATTGCTTTGCCTGCAGTAATAGGTATTACTATGAGGGCGCAAAACAGTTTTCTAAGCTCATGGAACATTCAAAGGAAATGGATTTAATTTAAACTAAATGTTACGCTTGGGCAGAAAGTAGAATTGTTTTACTATTGGTGTTGTAAAACGCTTAGATGGGGGTACCCAAGGACAACATGGAAGCTTTGTCCCTGGAAATGCAAAAGATGTAGCCAAAAATTATGGATCTCATGGATTTAGGCATCCATCTCCCTGAAGGCATTAAATGGTATCAGGTCATTTATCTTGAGCCTTTCTGCTCAGTTTGTTTATGGCTTTGAAGCAGGGCACAGTGGTACACAAAAGGGAAAGACACTGCCGGTACCCAGACATCTGCTCCATCCTTACCTACTTCAGTGATGCCCCCTCCTCACTCAGCATCAGGATGAGGGTAGAGAGTGTTGCTTCTCTATTAAGGTGATTTGGGTCTCCTATTAATCACATTGACAACCAAGGAAATTGGGGATCTGATTTCAACAAAGCTGAAATTCATTTTTGTTCCTTGGTCTGATCCACAGCATTAAGTGAAGTATTCAATAGACAAAGTCCAGCCAAGTAAAATTCTACTCCATGCTCACGGTTATTAATGTGAATGACTCCTCTGGGGGAAAGCATTTTGTTTATTGGATAGACCAAATCCTCTGGAGACCCACTGAATCTGTAGGGGAATTTCTTTAATCTGCACTGTAGGTTTGGCAATTCTTTGACCTGTTATTTTTTCTTTTTTATCATGCTTACCATTCTTTTTGTGAATGTTAGGTACTGCTGCTAAAAGTATATGCCTTAGGACAATTCAGTTTCTATGACAATGTGTGGATTGAATATCATCGTAACACACACACACAGACACACACATGTACACATGTATACTGCACATGTAGATGTAGAAAGTCATGATTAAGAGCCTCAGGTCTGTGGACAGACTTCCTGGGTTGGGCCTCTGGTTCTACCATAGTTTTGTGAACTTGAGTAATTTATTTACTCTTGAGAAACTTCGGTGTCCTCATCTGTAAAATGGACATAATAATGATTACTGTCCTCAGAGAGTAGTTGTGATGACTAAATGCATTAATAGTAACACAATGATTGTAACGTTACCTGGACTGTAGTGCATGTTTGTCAATAGTATCGACACTTCTGAGTGTTAGAAAGTTTATGAGAGACTCTGATTTCTTAGCCCTCTTAGTCCCAGGACACAAAACTCTTGCATGTTCCTAAGATCACAGGAACCAGGATCTCCCTTGGATACTATACCCTTTCTAGGTACTAGCATCTCTAGGGTTGGTACTCCCCAAACTGCCTTTACTGGTGCAAGGTCATTCTGTGGGCAGGCTTACCCAAAGGAGTTCATGAAGTAGATAGAGCTCCCATGGCTCTGGGCACCCACAGGAGTGGAGTTCTGGTAGTTATCTATCCCTAAGTTAGCCTACTTGGCATGGCTACCTGAGGGAGAGGTTCCATCTTAGGCTCTTGAGTGTGTGGGTTTTTTTTTTTGTTTTTTTTTTTTTTTTTGAGACAGAGTCTCGCTCTGTCGCCCAGGCTGGAGTGCAGTGGCGTGATTTCGGCTCACTGCAAGCCCCACCTCCGGGGTTCACGCCATTCTCCTGCCTCAGCCTCCCGAGTAGCTGGGACTACAGGCGGCCACCACCACGCCCGACTAATTTTTTGTATTTTCAGTAGAGACGGGGTTTCACATTGTTAGCCAGGATGGTCTCTATCTCCTGACCTCGTGATCCGCCCGCCTCGGCCTCCCAAAGTGCTGGGATTACAGGCGTGAGCCACCGCGCCCGGCCGGGCTCTTGTGGTTTTACTGGTCTCACAGGACGCCACGGACTGGGAGTATAGAGTGTCCTTTCTGCTTCACAGCTTCACTGTCTAATTGATTATTTCTTTATGTACTCTCTAATTTCCAGTGGGGTACCTGAGTCCCTCTTGGGATTCTTGTTCTTTGTGATCCCAGACTTACTGACTTTTCTAGATGAGCCAGGGGAGCTGATTATATTGACATGCTGACAAGGACAGCTCACAGAATGATGGGTGAATATATTTCCCTTCCCACAGAGTAAATTTTCTAGATTTGTAACCCAAATATAAACTCAAACTTGTAAAAATTTGTTCTTTCTCTGGTAAAGATTCTACCACAGTCTCAAACAATGCATCAAATAAACACATATTAGTATTGTCTATAGCATATATAAAGCACTATAAATCTTGTGAGAAAGTTATCAGAGAAATCGACATTTTATTTGTCTCCATAGAGTCTGTGTTTTAATGGGGGAGTCAGGGAAATGTCTAAATGAAGGTTCCTTTTTTTTCAATGTATATGATCCTGTTTTGAATGTTCTACTGTTGTGGGGAGTAGAAATGGTCTCTACCAAACTTCACAGAGGCAAATCTGCAATACTTTTACTATTTTGATTTCCTGAAGGCTGCATACCCTGGGTTTTCTAGGGCAGCATCTACCTCATGTGATTTTATTCTATTTAATATAAGTGATTTTTAGAATCTATACCAATGCAACTTGGTTACGTAGTCATACACAACTTTTCATGCAAATAAAAAATAAAACAACAACACACCTTTGATGGACTTCAAGTTCTGGTATTTGGTTCTGAAAAATATGATCTTGTGGATTCAGATCCCTTTGAGTTTCATGGGTTTTTGAAAAGTATTACTGAGACAAGGAAGCCAGAATAGTTTGGGCATCTGACAGCCTCCACTGAGGTGAGTGAGGACAATGCTTTCCTATTTGTGCAGGACATCTCGGATTTAAGTACGCTTTCGGCACAGTTAATCATGGGGCATTGTGACCTCTGTACCACAAATAGTGGGCCTGTCAGCCTTTCATCTGTCAGAGTGGATGGAGGACAACGTTCCAGTGACCCTGCAATTGTTTATCCCCGGCCCCTGCTTCCTCTCCTCTCTGTTTCCCACAGCTGCTCGGTTGTCCTTCACTGGTTAACTTTCTCACCTGTGACACTTCGAAAGCTGGGTAGTACAGGGATGGAGCAAGGCGTTATTGAATGTCTCCCCGCCAGTCAAAGGGAGATGCAAGAAAGCCTCTGCTCTATTTTCTTTTAAAGGAGATTGAAGAGAACGTTTGTGTGTCATGTGTCATGATGTGAATTTGGCCTGCAGTGCCTCTGTTGTCTAAACTGAGAAGCAGAGAGTTCATTGTTCATCTTTGTGTCTTCGGGCTGACAATTCTTTAGGTGGTTTTGCCCTTTGTCTAGAAGAGTAAATGTTACACGTGGAGCTCAAAGGAATTTTCCTGCTTACTATTTAATAGTACAAATAATAACTTTAATGTCATACAGAAAAGACACTTCGATGACTGACAGAAAATCTTTAGGGCCAACCCCTCCCTGGAGTTAGGGGAGAAGAGAGGATGGGGCAGACTGAGTGTTTGAATCGCTCTAGATCAGAGTTGCAGTTTTGTGGTTTCTCCTTTGGTTCATAAGCTGTATTTGCTACAAAACATTTTAGAAATCTTAGCATAAAACATCCTCTAATATTGCCTCAGAGTCGTCTCGAAATAATTTCCCTTAATTAGGTCTAATGGACTGTCTCATGAATTGTATGACTCTCCATTTGGTCTGACAGAGGTAATTAGCCATGAACAATTGTACTTGGCCGTTTTTAATTAGACCAGTGTGAGAATTATGCTTTTATTTTTACAGCTGCCAATTGAAGAAACCTAAAGACTTTACTGCAGTAAATATCGTATCTATTTTTTTTTCTTTTAAAACATCTATTTCAAATCAGGACTCTGACTTTTGAGGTCTGCCACATCCCGCTGTTCTAACCTCCAGCACTCACTGGCTGTGTGGTCCTGACAAATCACTTATACTGTCTGTTTTCTCAGCTATAAAATGAAGTTAATAATGATTCCCACGGGATTAAATGAAATAGTATTGTGATTGCATTTCATAAATAATGCCATGTCATGTTGTTTATATTATAAAAAAGAATAGTGAGATTTTCCAGAGGCTTGAATAAGTGATGTTTTTTAAACAGAGGGTTGTATCCCGTTATTGGATCCTGAAATCAATTTACTAGGTTGGGATGAGCAGGTAAAAAAAGTGAAACAGTATAGGATAGAACACAGAAGTATGATTCAAAAGTAGTACGGGCCAATGTTGTTTCCTTGAAGGTTTGACGTGTATGTGTATGTGTAGGGTTGTGAGATATATATTTATTTACTGTGGCTCAAAGGCAACAATATTTGAGAGCTACTGGAGTAGGTGTGACTTATAAATGGAAGCAACATCCATTGTTGAGCATTTTATCCACTGGAAAAGTTTAATACTGTAGAACTTTTTTAGCTGCCTTCCTCTGGGTTTTTATTGAAGACGAAATGTCAATTTTTGAAGTCTTAGACCAACAGCATCTTTTTTTATATGTGTGATAGGGGAATACAGATTAATTGGAAAAGAAAATGGATTGTCACCAAAGATATAAATGTTATCATATGGATGGAAGTTTAATGCTGTAATTGTCTATCAGGAATATAATGTTTGGCCCCTTAGGGTTTATGTTTTATACTATAATTTCAAGAATTTGAAAATCATATTCTCTATGCAAGTAATGAAATTATTCTTTTTCATATCAAAAATGAACTCTTTTATATGAGTTTCCCACTTCAGCACAAATTTTTATTGCTAAATGGCTTTGTAAGATTGCAGAAAATGTGCTTACCTCTTTAATATCCTTTTAGATTAAAGTGGACTGGAATCCACAGGGAACATTTAGTTATATCAAGAGGGTGGGAAATTTGATTAACTTGGTGTTTTCTTATGAAAGTGTCGAGAAAGGAAATTTTCACCCCCGTTTTCATTTTAGATGTCAGGAAGTAGATGTGCAGGTTTGTTATGAGGGCATATTGGTGTGGTGCTGAGGTTGGGCTTCTATTGATCCCGTCACCCAGATAGTGAACATAGAACTCAATAGGAAGTTTTACAGCCCTTGTCTCTCTCTCTGTCGCTCCTTTTGGAGTCCCCAGTGTCTATTGTTCCCATCTTTATGTCCATGTGAACCCAAGATTTATCTACCACTCAAGTGAGAACATGCAATATTAGGTTTTCAATTTTTGCATTAGTTTGCTTAGGATAATAACCTCCAGGTGCATCCGTGTTGTTGTGAAGGACATGATTTCATTCTTTTTTTTTTTGAGACGGAGTCTTGCTCTGTCGCCAGGCTGGAGTGCAGTGGCGCGATCTCCGCTCACTGCAAGCTCCGCCTCCCGGGTTCAAGCGATTCTTCAAGCCTCTGAAGTAGCTGGGACTACAGATGCATGCCACTACGCCCAGCTAATTTTTGTATTTTTAGTAGAGACGGGGTTTCACCATATTGGCCAGGATGGTCTAGAGCTCTTGACCGATTTCATTCTTTTTTATGGCTGCATGGTAGTCCATGGTGTATATGTACTACATTTTCATTATCCAATCTACCTTTTATGGGCACCTAGGTTGATTCCATGTCTTTGCTATTGTGAAAAGCACTGTGATGAACATACACGTACGTGTGTTAGACCCATAAAATCTTAATTAGATTCATTAAATGACACTTTTGAAAGCACAAATATTTTATCTCTGTAGCAGACAATTTTGCTTATCTAATTGCCAGATTCCTACAGCTTCTTCTTCCTGATTGCCACCTCCCTCTCCCATAAATCTCATGGAAGATTCCCTCTATCTTCTGGTCTAGGGATAAATCCTGACACGTCTAAGCCAATTTTAATAGTTTCATTTGCTTGTTGCTGATTGGTTTAGGAATGGAAATGTGACATAGTTCCAGCCAGTGGGATCTGAGGAGAGCTCACCTGGGAAGCTCCTGAGATGGTTTCTTTGCTGATAAAAATGAGTTACAGGAAAAACTTACCCCCTCTTCTTCGACTACATGCGTCATCCAGTAATGTCTGCGTCTGTGACAGACTTTTTTTTTTTTTGAGACAGAATCTCGCTCTGTTGCCCAGGCTGGAGTGCAGTGGCGCGATCTCAGCTCACTGCAAGCTCTAGCCTCCTGGGTTCACGCCATTCTCCTGCCTCAGCCTCCCGAGTAGCTGGGACTACAGGCGCCCATGTGACAGACATTTTTAAACTCAGAGTAACCAGCTGGGCACATCCCAGGGAATGGCAGAGCTGAAAGAAGAAAATAACCTGGCTCATTGATAATGATGTTGAGCCCCGGACTTTACCCACTTGAAGCTGGTCTGCTTCTTGCAATCTGAGATAGTACATGTTCTTTGTGGTCTGGCCCCACTAAGTCAGGATTTTCTGTTACTTGGATCTGGAAATGAATACCATCTGGATTATGTTCCTTAGAAAGGTAACTACTGCCACTGTATATCCTTGGACTGTATTGAGCTTTACCATGGGGCTGTTTCCAGCCTGAGAGCCAGCTGTGAGTTAGCAGATTCTGCCTCATCCTCTTCTAAATCATTATGCCTCATGTTCTTTGGAGTAAATTGTTTCAGCCGATAGAGATGACACCTATCTCAGGCCAGTCATCTCTCTACAGGGATTATTGGTGTTGGCATGTGGGGGAAACAGACTCTTAATGCCTGCTGTTGGTATTTGTAGTTAGTACTTTTTGAAGTAATTTTACATCTATTTTTACTGAGCATTCATTAATTAAAAATTGCTTATTGAACATCCACAAATGCCAGAGTGTTGTCAGGCATTGGAGAAACAGTGGTAAATATAATCAACATGGTTTGTCTTCACAGGGAACCTAAAATCAAGTTATTCTTAATAACTTCGTAAAATAGGGAAACTATTATAAAATTTATTAATTTGTGCATTTACTCATTAATTCACCATGTTTTTTTAAATTTGATTTTATTTTAAGTTCCAGGATATATGTGCAGGATGTGCATGTTTGTCACATAGGTAAATGTGTGCTGTGGTGGTTTGCTGCACCTATCAACCCATCACCTAGGTATTAAGCCCAGCATCCATCAGCTATTTATCCTGATACTCTCCCTCCATTAACTCCCTGACAGGCCCCAGTGTGTGTTGTTCCCCTCCCTGTGTCCAGGTGTTCTCATTGTTCAGCTCCCACTTGTAAGTGAGAGCATGGGGAATTCACCATGTTTTTGATGAGATTCTGCTATACACCTGGGAATGTGCTGGGGAATACAGTGGTAACCAAGATAGCCATGACTGCTTACTCCACTAGGAGCTTAAAGTCTAGCTCTTTATGATAATCTTACAAAGTAGTATCTATTACTAATTCATTCACTCAACAAATATTTACAGAACACCTTCTATGTACTAAATACAGGTGAGAAAACTGAAGCCAGAGAGGTGAAATGACTTAACCAACTTAATCCTAGATAGTTAGAAAGCTCAACCTAGAACACAGAAATCTCTCGTATTCTACATGACCTTCTCACTTGATCACATTGTCTTTTATACAATACAAATAAAAATTAGAATTACTTCTTAAACATACCTTGCCAAGTTTGTTAAAGAGTCAGCATCAACACTGTCCTCTCAAATGAAGCATAGAAAGTTCAGTGGACTATTCTTCTGAACTTTAAATGTAACATCTACTTTTATATTCCAGGGGCAAAATCAGCCCAAATATTTTTAGCCCAAAAGACTGGGGCTCAATAAAAGTGGAAAGTTTGCAAATGAATTAATAGGAGTACTAGAGTGCTAAGAAAAAGTAAAAATTCTAGGATTTATGGGGGAAAGACTACAGATCAGTGCCATTGTAGCTATTCACCCAGAATAGTTATTTCTTTATACTTTCAGTATGCTGTCTGTAGTATACTTTCCCAAAGAGTCCGTGTATCCTAGGTGTCTGTGTAGTGGGAGTTCCTGCAGGTGATTGTCTCATTGTTTATGTTTTTCTTCACATCAAACCTTTCTTTGGATTCCTTACTTTTTCTAAAGTTGTTTTTGACATTGATATTTTATCCAACTTCTGACTCATTCTGATTCAGAAGGACAAGAAAGGATGATTTAGGGCCATCAAATATAGAATATTTAAGGCTTAAGGGGCTATACATTTCTAAATAGCACCAATCCTCAGAATTTGGAGACAGGGTTGAAAAATGTCACTTTCTGAAATGGTAACTAAGAAGCATCACACAATATGACATTAGTCACCTCGTGGAAATAATCCTGGGGAATAGCATACCTTAAGAGAAGGAGGACAATGAAGAAGAGAAAGGTGAGGAGAAAAAATACTGAATTAAAGAAAGAAAAACTGGGAGGAAGTGGAGGAGATCAGCAGAGAACATGGATTAAAAAGGTCACCTTTTAGGTCAGCCTAAATGAATTTGTTTCTGGAGTAAAAGTGGCCACAGTCGTGTAAGGGGGTCTTGCCTCTCTGATCTGCATAAGGAGGTCTTGCCTTGCTGATCTGAATGTGGATTCCAGGTGGCTACAGGAATGCTACAGAGAGCTCTTGGGAGAGAGTAGAAAGGAAGGCTTCCTATCAGATGACTAATTCTTTTGGAGTTACCGCTTCTTGTTCAGAATGACAATTCTCATATAGAATTTTGTCCCGTGAATGGTATTGATGACATTCTATCTTGCAATACAGTTATAAGTTGAGTGAATGGCCTGCCTGGAATCTTTTAGACAGTGCTGTATTGGTGCATTGTTAGTTCTATTCACATATTTACAGCTCCAAACATAATTTCTGGCACATGGCAGAGAGTCAATGAATGTTCTCGAAAGTTCAATCAACTAAATGGAAGGTGAGTGTGACTGTTCATGTATCTCAAGTGGAGAGGTGAAAAGTTGAAATGTGTCATTCTATTTTTATTGCATTTAACTTCCTCAGTAGTTGTTGCTTCTGTTGTTGTTACCTCCCAATTTAGGAAATAGCTCAATATTGGATCAAATAGCTCAATATTGGAAAGCCAATTACCTAACAGAGGCAGAGAAAAGTGAAAGCAGCAAGATGGTGACAAAATGAGAATCAAAGGAAATGCCATTAATGGAAACTTACTCTGGCCCATGTGACTTACTTGGATTGGAGCATATGTAGGCAGACCAGCCAGCATGAACTGTTTTTATTATTATTATTATTTAATTTTATTTTAAGTTCTGGGATACATGTGCAAGACATGCATGTTTGTTACATAGGTAAATGTGTGCCATGGTGGTTTGCTGTACCTATCAACTCATCACATAGGAGTTAAGCCCCGCATGCATTAGCTATTTATCCTGATGCTCTCCCTTCCCCCACCCCCACAACAGGCCCTAGTGTATGTTGTTCCCTCCCTGTGTCCCTGTGTTCTCATTGTTCAGCTATTATTATTTTGTTTGAATTTAGTTATCACAGATTTCCTGGTTGTACGTCTGGTTGTATATATGCCAGTGTACACACATATATCAAAGTTTGTATCTTCTTAGAAATATGCTCATTTTCATAGAAAATAAAATCAACGTCAAGGTCACAAATAATTTTTTGGTTAAAAACAGTGACACCAATATATGATTGCAAACCTGAGTTCTCCACTGATTAAATGTGAAAACAGAGGGCTTGGACTCTGGAACCAGATATCTGAGCTTGAATCCCAGCTCTGCCACTTACCAGCTCTGTGGCAAGTTAACATCACCTCTCTGTGCCTCCGTTTCCTAATACATAAATTAGAAATGATAATAGGTCTACTGTATAGGATCATGTGAGGATTTAATGAGTATGTGAGTACATAATGTATGTTAAGTCATTAGAACAGTGCCTGGCACATAATAAATGTTGGCTATTATTATTAACAATTAATAATAGACATTACTAGTAATAACAGTGTCACAATTTAATTATTAATATTAATATTAAAATGTAGAACCACAACGTGTTATAATAGCAAATGTTGGCTGAGAAAATAGGCAATGATAAAAGCTTTTATAAATTAAATAACACTTTAAAATATATTTTATTAATAGCCTCTATATAAACAACCTATATTTGAAACAGCAATGTTGCATATATATGAATATATGTGGATATATCTGTGTGTGTTTACATAGCATTGTTCACTCAGTCCTCACATGAATCGTAACGAGTGCATGAATTTGTGTTCCTTGAGGCCTCCAGGGTATGTGTAGTCCTCAGTTTGTGAACCACTGGCTTCGTGAACCTTTATGTTTACTCTGTATATCAGTCATATAAATTAGTGCAGATTCTTTTCCTGAAAAAAATTCCATTGAATACAAAAAAATTAGGCTCTAGTTGTTGAAGAATCAAATACACTTAAATATAGTTAAAAATAATGAACAGAACTCGGATGGTATCTCCTTTAGGCTAGCATGGTTCACTCTGTGATACCAGGGATCTCATGGATCTCTTGGAAATAAGTGAAGGAGGAACCAAGTGCAATGTTTTTGGATTGCAGTTGTGTAGTGGGCAGAATGGTTAAAAGTACACAGTAACCCTGCGAGGAAGGTGGTATTCTTGTCCTCTTTTACAGATTAAAAAAACTAAGGCTCAGCGAGATTCAGTAATTTGCAAAAAGTCTTATAATAGAGCTAAGATTCAAATCCAAGATTGGTAGATGCCCAAGCTCTCTCCTTCTATGCTATAGTCCTGACAACGATGGCTGTCATTTTAAGATATCCTCCAGATTTTGCAGGGTTTCTGTTGTTGTTATTGTTATATTTTTATTTTGTCAGACTCCCAGAACACAGTGCATCCATGTAATAGAGGTAGAGATACCAGGACACAGCACATCAGTGTAATAGAAACAGACAGAGACACCAGAAAAATAAACATGGCTATTCATCATGGCAGCCAGCAGCAGAGGCCTGTGGGTTTTCCATGAAATTCTTTACAGGCCAGAGAGAAAAAAATCTAGGTTATTCAAATCAGTTACTCAGGCATTGCTGGTCAGTAAAGATTAGGCCCATTGGGTGTGCTTAAATGCCTGTGGCGAGTAAGGTGAAGCAAGATTGGAACTGCTGCCAAGGTGGCCGGGGGTGGAACTGACAGTGGTGAGGAAGAGGCCATTCTGAGTAGCTGGTTATCTTTCAGAGGATATGGGATAGATAAGGCCCTATCAAGATCAAAGAATGCATGTGGCGGGGGGGGGTTTATAAAGGAAGAGAAGGGAAACAGGCTCATTGAGAAACCAGGAAAGGAAGGAGGCTGACAGATGATATTCATCAAGTCCCTGTGGAGTGAGGGAGATGTGTGTAGGGTGTAATGTGGGAGTGAGGTGAGGAACATGACCCTTACTGATAAAGTCCGTTCCTCGTCTTTTGCAGTTGCTTTAAGCTCTGAAATGGCACTTGGGGGATCTGGGCTTGTCTTAGATCAGTACTTTCTAAGATATTTATCTCTTATTGCTGACACATGGCCCTTGGTTGTTCCCTCTTTTCTATAGTTCCCCTCCCTGAATCTTGTTTTAGGGGTTTCTTTCTTTATGGTTCCCAGGCCTACTCTCCTATTGTCTTATTTTATTAAATGTTATTCCTGTGAGGGAGGTCCATTAAGCTCCTTTCCTTTGTCTCAAGTCCCCTCTGCTGAGTTCCTGAGGACCGTGTAAAAGAACAACAGTACATGAAGATGGACAATTACTTATTGAGCATCTACAATGTGTAAGGCACTGAGAAAACCATGATAAATAAAATATACTTTTTCCTTTAAGGAGGTAACATCCCCTGATGAAGTTGACACTTTAGAGGGGAAAACAGAATTACAAACTAATATATACAATACAGTGTAAGAATATAATATTTGAAATATATGCCATGCAGAATATGATCCAGTTTTTCTCAAGGATCCCCCCTCTACCCTATGCCAGGGGAATCTACTATGTTTGAGGGAAATTCCATCTGCCCAAGAGGTCAGAGTTTATGGCTGGATGTGGTGGCTCACGCCTGTAATCCCAGCACTTTGGGAGGCTAAGGTAGGAGGATTGCTTGAGCCCAGGAGTTGGAGTTGGAGACTAGCCTGGGCAACAAGGGAAACCCCCTGTGTACAAAACAAAACAAAACAAAAAAAGCCGAATGTAGTGGTGTGCACCTGTGGAGGTTTTTGGAAGGCTAGGTGGGAGGATCACTTGAGCCCAGGAGTACTAGGCTGCAGTGAGCTATGATCATGCCACTTGCACTCCAGCCTGGGTGACAGAGTGAGACTCTGTCTCAAAAAATAAAAATAAAAAAGTCAGTTTCATTTACCTGGCAGCAGGTCAGTGTAACAGCAGAGGAATGACAAAGTAGAATGGAGAGAATGAGTGAAGAACTGTGAGCTGACACTTTCCCCTCTATGAACAGAGGACTGTGTGGGCCCAGAGCTGGCTGCTGAGCCTATTCAGCCAAGCTCCTTAGCTTTATGGAAGTACAGAACAAATGAAAGTTACCACAGGTGATATCATACCTACCCATAATAAAGAGAAAATGTCTTGATACCATCTCTTCCTTTCTGTTAAAGAAAAAAACTAGTCAATGATACTTGTTAAAACACAGGAAGGGAGACTTTATTCAGGACCATCTTAATAGGTATAGAGATCACTGCAATCAGATTCTGCAGTGGGGGAGAGAGATTGGGCTCAACTCAGAATACGGCATGGGCAAGTGGGAATTTATATGGAAGAAGCACGGTGGGGGTCATTAGATAAAAAAAATTACTAAGAGGAAACTTCAGGGGCAAGGGAGGATTCTGGCTAAACTGACCTAACAGGATTCTTACTGAAGACAGGCCAGGGTAAGCAGACATCACCTGGGGGATGGTGGAGGAGGAGGAACCCAGCCAGATACAGAGGGTGCTCGGATATCAAGGGTGGAAGTGCTTGCTAAACTGACTCAGCAGGATTCTTTGTTAAAACTGGACTTTATAAGAAAGTACACAGATGAGCCTAGGAGAAGTTTCAGGAGCTTGCCCAAAATTTGGTCAAGTAAATAATCTTTGTCCTCTCCTTACTTAGATTAAAATCGGATGGGTTAGCCTCAAAATTTTTGTGAAGAAGATTTAAAAAGAGACTGGCTGAAAACTGGTCTAGAAGCTAGTTATGAGATTATTTTGAAGCAATGTTGATTCCTGGAGCCTGGGCCCTGAATGCTGAGGGAAGCATCTGAGAAGAATGGACAATGATCTAGGGATGAGATCTAGGGAACAGAAGAGATGTTCGCCACAGGGTACATTGACAAGAAGTGTTGCTGGGAACTCTGTGACCGCCTCCACCCTAGGAACAGCTGACATGGGGAAAGGTTGATTTTGCAAACAGGAAGAACCAAAACTTGGCACTAGCTTTTGGAACCACAGGTTAACTGATGCCAATAGACATAAATGAGAATGCCTCAGAATTTAAACAATTTCTAAGTAATAGGAAGAATCAGCCTACTGTTGGAATGACATCTGTCTAAATGTCATCTATTAAAGAATCTCCATTTATTTCAAAGTTAAGAAATAACACAAAAAGGAGATGTTACAATATTGTGTAAATATCAAGTTAGAGAAGGATTTCCACAAAACGTAAGCGGGAACATCAATGGCAAATAAATAGTTTTTGAGAAAACTCAGGGTTTTCTTTTTCTTTAATCTTTTCTTTTTCTGGGATAAATACTTCAAGTGGAAATGGGATTTTCTGAAATGGGCACTTGCAAAAGTCTCCAGAAACCCCCAAGGAAGAGGGTTGACTCATCCAGAATACTGGGAGATGGAAAAGGGCCACAGAAAGCTGTTGGCTCCCTTGTTTGTGGACAAGAGAATTGCTTCTGGGCTGTTTTAGTCAGAGGCACTACATAAAAAATGAGCCAGGAAAGACACAACCAGCTAGGAGCCAGGCACTGTTTCTATGCTTGTTTTACATCCAAAAAGAACTAGAAGAAATTGCAATTTAAAATTTTGGTGGAATTTCTGGAATTATGAACAATGTCATTTCTGTAAATAAATATTTATGGAGTGTGTATCTTTGCCCACCCTGTCTTTGGCACCGTGAAGGTACACCAAAGACTCTAACTGTGATTCTTGCTTGTATTTCTCAACCACAGCTGGGATGTGATTTGTGCATAGGATTAAATATGTTGAGATTCTTTGATAAATCAAAAAATATTCCCTATAAGACACTGTGATCTTAAAATTATTCACAGATAATTGATCAACATTTTTGAGAATCCAGAGCTTGCTTGGTAGCAAATGAAACATATCTAAGACCCTCAAACTCCATCTCTAATAGGTTATGTATTTTTGTTTCTCAAATAGCAACTAGAATTTGGGGGTGGAATGGGGTAGGACGTTAGCTAGAAGACACGTATTAGGGAGAAAAGCCATTTCCAAATTGAGATCTTTGTTTACTGAATATCTGGCTTTTAGTAAGAGTATTTAATCCAAAGTGAAATTGGTAGATTTCACAGATGTATTTATCCCTCTATAATTAAAAGATCAGTCCTGTAGAGTTCTTTTCTTGAAAGATTATTCTATAATGTGAATAAACCATTCTCAGAATTGACAGCTTCTCTCTTCTGAAACCTTTCCTCTCTTCCTCAGCTGATTGAAAGGGCTGCTCATGGTCTTTTTCAGCTGCTTATAAGGAATATAAAGCAAACCAGTACAGCAGAAAGAGATGAATAAAGATTCCTTTGTTCCCGATCACGTGCCTGAAGAGAGAACACCATTGCCCTTGAGGCGCTCTCTTGAGTGGGTTCAGGATCTTCCCTCTTCCTGCAGCACTCTGCGATTCTCTCCCAGGGCTGCAAGAAAAAGCAGCACTGTTCCCTTCGGGTTGAGCCCGGCCATCGCCATCAGTGCTGCCACTGCCACCACCTCCATTCCCCGCAACCCAGACAACAGAGTGAACCTGCTAACAGCACAGAGTGTGTTTATTTATTCTCTCTGCATAGTGGAAACTTGTTTCAAAGAAAGTAACAGGGATTGCCTGATGTTAGAAGATTCAAAACACTGAAATACACTTGTAAAACGATTTGGCTGTCTTCAATGAATGTAAATAGTATGTATTTGGGGGAGTTGCAAAGGAGCCGATCAGCATATTTGTCAGAGAGGGAAGGAGGCAGAGGAAAATATTTATCTCTCTTTGTGAGCTGTCACACGACTATAGTTTGCCCATCACATCTGAATATCTGTTCAAATGATGTGATATTTTTATTTTGATTTCCTGAACTGATAAAATGTCCTGGAAAAAATAGGGCAGCTGATCTTTGGAATGTTTTTTCTCTCATAATCCTAAATTTTTGATTTCTGTGATTTCTCACTCTTCCCTTTTCTTAGAAATCCTCATGCTCTAGCTTTCTGGGGGGACAATTCTTATGGTTTTTTGTTATGTTGATGCTTTATCATCATTTATACCTCTGGCCCTTACTACAGAACCTTGCACACACTAGATGCACAATAAATATTTCCTGAAAAAGTGAATGAATGGAAAAATGAAAATGAAAATGAAAAATAAATGGAAAAATGAAAAGCATTGAGCTGTTTTGTGAAAATCTGATGAGTAAGCCTTTCTTCTTAGGAATTCTAGCCTTGGTTCCAGGCTCAACTGTTAGACTTCTCTGAAAAGAGTATACCCAAGTCTGCTTTCCCTTGGGTATACTGAGCTGGACCCCTGGAATAAAAACTTTGAGGAAACATCTAGTACAATAGTCACTGGTGCTAAGATTAGGGGCAAGACATCAAGAGTAAATTTGGTCTTACTCTTTCTCTGGAAAATTTTTAGGTATTTAGCTACCTACCTGAGATTTATTAGGCTGTTAATATTTCTTTGAGTATAAAGAAAAAAATAAGGGTGAAACATTGATGATCTAGTTTAATTTACTGAGAAATGTGCTTTTCTTCTTGTGAAAGTCCTAAATCTGTCCACTTGTATCAGTGGGACTGGGCATGTGGGTGGTGATAGTGGAACACTGTGTGAGCCACTGATATTGTGTGTGTGCTGGAATGAGGCATGCTTTCCACCTTACTCCTCCTTCTAGCAGCAATGAATATGGAGGGCAGCAATGTCATTTTCTCCTCGAAGGTCACAACCAAGAGAGAGGTGTCTCTTCTTATGTTTGTTTTCTAGGGCTGTAATAACAAAGTACCACAAACTGGATGGCTTAAACAAGGCATCTGTTTTCTCACGGTCCTGGAGGCTAGAAGTTTGAGATCAAAGTGTCAGTAGGATTGGTTTCTTCTGAGGCCTTTCTCTTTGGCTTGTAGATGGCTGTCTTCTCTGTGTGTCCCTATATGATCTTCCTTCTGTACATGTCTGTGTCCAAATTTCTTCCACTTATAAGGACAGCAGTCATATTGGGTTGGACCTGCCCTTGGGACTTTATTTAACTTTAGTTACCTCACTGAAGGCCTTATCTCCAAATACAGGCACATTCTACTGTACTTGGGATTAGGACTTCAGCCTGTGAATTTTGGGGGGGACACAATTTAGCCCATAACAAGACCCTACTGGCCAGAACTTTGTTCTGTCATTGGATTTTACATCTGGAGGAGAATGAAACTATAAAACATAGAGAATAGATAACTACTGATTATAGATTAGAGCCACCAGATAGAGTTGGAGATAGTGAAATGAAAAGCTGACTATAAGGTAATAATGTAGCTCGGTATAGTTAATTAAAACAAAACAGCCAGACGTGGTGTCTCACGCCTGTAATCCCAACACTTTGGGAAGCCGAGGTATGTGGATCACCTGAGGTCAGTAGTTCGAGACCAGCCTGGCCAACATGGTGAAACGCTGTCTCTACTAAAAATACAAAAAAATTAGCCAGGCGTGGTGGCGCGCCTGTAATCCCAGCTACTCAGGAGGCTGAGGCAGGAGAATCGCTTGAACCTGGGAGGCGGAGGTTGCAGTGAGCCGAGATCGCGCCACTGCACTCCAGCCTGAGTGACAAAAGCCAGACTCCATCTCAAAACAAACAAACAAACAAACAAACAAACAACAAAACAAAACAAAACAATACCACCACATTTCCCTGCATTGGAGTGAAAAAGTAATTCCTAACATATTGGGAGAACAAGGACATTTTCTACTCAAACAATAAATTAGGTTTCCATATTATATTACTTAAAGATGGATAATTCAAAGGCTGAAGAAAATGACAAAGGTGTAGGAAAACAAATTATGGAGAAAAATCAAGAAGAATCAAAATTGTTTAGCTCAATGAGAGCTGAGAGGTGAAAGAGGAAGACTTGGAAAGGTCTGAGGATGGTAGTGTTATACTATGGGTTATTGGATATAGTGAACAGAGAGGGTGTTCATTTTCACTGATGTCAAAAAACTTCTTTCAAGAAATTATAAAAGGAATAAGCACTCATATAAATGAGGGTTTTGGTTGACGAAGAGCTTGAAGGGCTTATCTTCAGGATGTCCTCGGAGAGAGACAATAATGCTGAATTTTGAGAGTCTTACCTTCAAACACATTACAGATAAGAGGTTTGAGTGTAAAATCAAGAATAGGAAATCATTGGCTATTAGGCAAGAAAAGATGCTGTGATCTTCTGGTCTAACTTTCTTCTTTTATAGGGACCCACAGGGGTTTGGATTCCAACCCAAGGTCACTCAGCTAGTATGCAGAATTGCTGCGGCAAGTCTCATTTTTGTTCTTTTACTAACTTGTTAAATGGGCTTAGGCAAGTTATTTAAACGCATAATATTAAATATAGATAGGGTAATGCATGAACTGCAGGAAGGTGTAATGAGAATGTAATGATTTAAAATATTGATTCCTATGTAATTGAAAATCTACATGAGTCCCATGTGGCTCAAAAATCTTAGCATTTTAAAGAGGTAATTAAACTGAAAATGTGAACATGTGGCACTTTATTTAATGTCCTTTTTGTAGAATCAGAACCTGAGGGGGAAAATCTGTGATTAAATGCTCTGCAGGCCCCCAGAGCACCCCATCCATGTAATTGTGCTTTTATTGCAGTAAAGCATAAACTTTTTTTTTTTTTGCAGTAAAGAATGCTTTTATTGCTTTCTTATCCAGTAAGAAAGCAAAAACCATAGGGCTATTTATTGTAAAAGGGCCTCCTATTGTTTCCTACCCCTTCTTCTTCATACGTAGCTTGATTTTGCCTTTGTGAGAAAGTTTTATAATAAGAAAAATTTTGGGCTGGGCGCAGTGGCTCACGCCTCTAATCCCAGCACTTTGGGAGGCGAAGGTGGGTGGATCATAAGGTCAGGAGTTTGAGACCAGCCTGACCAGCATGGTGAAACCCCATCTCTACTAAAAATACAAAAATTAGTCAGGTGTGGTGGCGGGCACCTGTAATCCCAGCTACTTGGGAGGCTGAGGCAGGAGAATCGCTTGAACCCGGGAGGCAGAGGTTGCAGTGAGCTGAGATTGCACCACTGGACTCTATCCTGGGCAACAAGATCAAGACTCCAACTCAGAAAAATAAAAACTATTTTGTTATTTCATGCAGAAGGGCCAGTATTTAAACTATAGAAAGGAAACTTTTTTGCCATAGAATTTTCTCTATTTTAGTAATTCGTTCTTGTTTTCTTTCTCTTCTTCCTCAAATCTTATTGTTGTTGAACAACAGAATTATGTTCTGTAACTTGCTGTATCTTAAAAATAGGGAAAGCTACATTATTGGTACATAAATGGAAAATATACAATAATATCTTTATCCAATTAAGTTTTTGAACCATAATTTTAAAAAGTAAGCTTATTAACTTAGATGTAAGAGAAATTTTTGAAAGGCACATACTGAAATTGATTTGCTGAGCTTTGATAATGGTTCAAACTTTTTTTTTTTTTTTACCTTAGACATAATGGAATAAATCAAACTAAATCTTTAAAAATAGTACCCCAATTTTAGCAGAGCACAGTCTTTTTAGCACATCAATTCATATATAATTTGTTTTTATATTTCTCTTGGCATTTGGGAGAGTTTCTTTTCATTTTTACTCTTTTTTAAAAGTGGTTGGATTCTGAAGATTGTATCCCTTTTGGTTTCCTTCAATCACTTTGTCACATCTCCTTAGCAACTTATAATTACCTACTGAGGAAGATAGTGCTTCAGTTTCCTAGTGAGAAAGTTGAGTATCTGAAAATTTGAGCTTAGTGTTAATCAACGCTATTGCTTTTTGAATTTAAGGGGTAAGTATAAGGTTAAGTGAAAAAGTTTACTTTTTCCATCCTTTCTTCTTGTGTGTATAATGTGTTTTCAAAGGTAGTCCTAAGGCAGGAGATTTGAGCTGACTAGGGATCTTATTATCATGAAGAACTGACAGGTGGCCTAGGAGAGCGCAGGAAGAGGAAGGTGACTGAAACCTGAGCACCAGAACGGTGAAGGTAAGACTCAAACAACGAGCTCCCTCAGCTTCTTGGGGATTATCCTTTAAGGCAAAGAATTCAACCTGAGGTTAGAGATTAGAGGAACCCAGACCGCATTCTAGGATGCTAGTTTATTGTCTTTGAGAGTAACTCTTCAAGTTGTGGCAATCTGAGACATTCTTCCAGTTTTTTCTGCATGAGAAAGATAAGAATAAAGAGGGCAAGGACATTATTTTGTAAGCCAAATAAGGATTTTAATTCTGATGGGGAGAGGAGCCTCTTTCACCTTAGGAATGTTCATTAGTTCATTTTTATTCATTCATACACACATAATGCTATGTGGCAGGCATTATTTGAGATGCTAGAAAACTTAGCAGAACAAAACTTCAGCCCTTGTGAAACTTGTATTCTAATAAGGGAGGCAGAAAATAAGCATATATCATACAGCAAGAAGGGTTACAGACAAAAATAAAGTGGGTCCAGGACTGGAAGAGTGGTAGTGAGCAGGGGGCAGGAATTATTGTAGAGCTCAGGGAAGACCCCTAGGATAAGAGGACCTGAAAGAAGGGTGGGAATGAGTCACAGACACCTGGGGAAGAGGATCTCAACATGTGAGAAGAGGTCCATGCCTAGTGTGTGCAAGGAGGAACATGGAAGCCAGTTTTGCTGAATCCTAATGACTGGGGGTGGTGGTGGTGTGGAAGATGATAAAAGAAAGATGGGTTGTAGGGCAGTCAATGAAGGATCTTGTAGATTCTTATAGGAAATTCTGCTGATTCTTATAGGAAATTCTGCTTTGACTAAGTGAGACGGAAAGCCCTGATCATAAGAGTGAAATACTGATGTTTAAAAGGGCCATCTGATGACTGAGTGGGAGAATAACTCTAGCAGGGCTAAGGTAGAAGCAGGGGCCCCCATTGGGAGACAATTACAATAATCCAGGCAAGAGGAGATGGCAGCTTGGATCAGGGTGGTTAACAGTGGAGATGTGAGAAGTGGTGGGAATCTGACCCCTCTGATGGTGGATTCAAAAAGATATGCTGACAGATTGGAGGTCTAGTGTGAGAGAAAGAGAGAAGGCAAGGATGATCGTAACTTTAAAGTGTGGAACTGTCCATCACTGAGATGGGGAAATCATTGGAGGAGCAGGTTTGGTTCAGTTTTAGGAAACAAGTCTGACATGATAATCAGATACCTAAGTGGAGACGTTGACCAAGCAGGTAGATGAGTCTGGGCATCAGGGGAAGTTTAATTTGGGAGTTTTCAGTATGTAGGTGATATTTAAAGGTAAGGCAACAGTGGTGAGAGGAACGATAGGGTATTTGGTAATAACAAGGAAGTAGCAGCTTGGCACAAGATCAAAAATAGCCATGGATTAAGACTTTTGGCAGCAGATGGAGGAGAGCAAAGTCAATAGCAGCTAATGAAAAATGTTTATGACTATCAAGGAGACTGGGGGACCTTGCAAAGGGAAGGCAAGCAGGCCAATTTCAGGGGAGTAGGGGATCAGTGACACAACTTAACGGAGGCTCAGATCCTGCTGCAAGCATGATTTTTACCCAAAACACATGACTGTTTTGCTAGGTAGGTGTGGCCTAGTAAG
Source organism: Homo sapiens (assembly GCF_000001405.40). Lineage (NCBI taxonomy): Eukaryota > Metazoa > Chordata > Mammalia > Primates > Hominidae > Homo > Homo sapiens. The sequence goes on along the minus strand of NC_000012.12, from coordinate 75,883,210 downwards.
GTAACAGGTACACCTTCACAATATTGAATTACAAAGGTACTTGGATTTTGAATAATTAGCTTTAAGTCTTCTATTTCTGATTGTAAGTTCTTTAAGAGAAGATTCAATGTTAAAATTCATTTTTATATTTTGCATGGAGCTTAGAACAGAAGGCTTTGTATTTCATAGGTGTTCAACAGATATTTCTTGAATGAATTGATGAAAACAATACTAAAAGCTTCAGATATCTCCCAAAGGTGCCTCAACAGGAGTAGTTCCCATGAGGATTAGCCATGCTGGGGTCTCTTGGACAAAAGGCTGGTACTGATTGAAAAATTCCCTGAGTATGTCTAGAAGTGTCAGGCTCCTCTGGAATCAGTTACAGTGGGATTGGCTGCTTAGGTATAATCTTTATAAGATTAAAAATTATAGATTATTTGGCAGCTTGTTTGAAAGTGTTGGTCCCAAGAAAAAGTTCTGCTGTGTGTTATGGCAGAATTATTAAAAAAAATACATTCTTAAGTTGAGGTTTCTAAGTAGGCTTTTGTAAAAACAGGCAATTACTTGCTGGAGGCAGTTAATTGCATGCACAGATGGGTACTTGTGTTACAAATTCCTCATTTGCACTTGTGATTACCCATTTGCAATAATTCATGAAACCTAGGGAATTCTTAGGTACAAGGAAAGGTTTTAGGCATTTAAAAAACGTATCACTACCATCAGAGGAGATGGAGAAAACAAAGAGCTAAGTATAAAGCCTTATTCCAAATGCTAAGTTCAGAGAATATTTTCTGAAGCTCGCGGTTGTTGAGGGTAAGAGGTTTACTAAGCTATTGTTTCCATGGACTCTCTCAGCTTTAAAAAAAAGAAAGAGAAAGAAAGAAAACAGTATTTCATCATTTCTCATTTCATTTTATTTTTCATATAACTTTCTGCTAATGGTGGTCTCTGTCAAAATGTTTCTAGTTTGATCATAAGTCTGGTTAGCAGAGTTTTTTTTCTGAAAAAATGCACTCAAAATTCTTTGACATTACATAAAATCATACATCTGAGTGAAAAGTGGATAAAAATCCCCAGTCTTCCAAGGTTGTGGTAAAATGTCAAGGAGTCTTGTTTTTAGAAGCTGTTATCATGACAGCCCAGTGCTGTGATAAATGAACAGTGAATATAAACAAAAAAATGAAAGAAATTCCCCTTCCCATCAAAATATGAGCACTGACTTGAAGAAATATTTCTTCTTAAAATATTTACTTTTTATAGAAGTAATTTTTAATAATTGAAGAGCCTGAAATAAATGCTTTGTGAGGAAAACTGTCCTATACCAAGATGGTTATGTGCTATGTCAGCCTTTAGTACTGAAAAGGGAATGAACCTGTCAAACTTTCTATCCTATGGAAGCTACAAACAACTTTTACTCTAATTCCCTCAGTGTATTGCTCATGATTTGTTATTTTATTTTGGCAGTTGGATCGAATGTCCAAAACATTTTGGGGAAAGAAGGCAGGGAATAACCTATCTCACGGAAGCAATTTAGTTGGGGGGACAATAGTTTGAAAGCCTACAGACCCTGAATTTCCTTTTGGCTTTAGAGAACTGCTTAGGGATGTGGGATAGAGGAGCTAGGGTCTTCAGCCTGAGAGATCTAGCATAATCCTTGATTTGGGGAATTCCCAGTGAAGATCAGGTCAGTTCTTGGAGTCTGTTATGGTCGTCTATTCTTGTGTACATTACCCCTGCACCAAGAAGATCCAAACTTACGAAGCATTGTATCAGTCAAGATAAACTAAGCAGTGCTGCAGTAACAAACTATCCCCAGATCTCAGCAGCCTAAAGCAACATAGGCTTAATTCTCTTGTGCTATCTGTTCATGATGTGTCCATACCTGGGAGCTAGACTCACTCTGGGACCCAGACAGATAGAGCATTATCCATCGTTAATACTGAGCAGTTGGTCATGCCTTTAATCCCAGTGTTTGGGAGGCTGAGATGGGAGGATTGCATGAGCTCAGGAATTAGACACTAGCCTGGGCAACACAGCAAGATTTCATCTCTACAAAAAATAAAAAAAATTAGCCAGACTTGGTGGCACATGCCTGTGATCCCAACTACTCGAGAGGCTGAGGCAGGAGGATCACTTGAGCCCAGGAGGTTGAGGCTGCAGTGAGCTCTGATTGCATCACTGCACTCCAGCTTGGGTAACAGAGCAAGACCCTGTCTCAAACAAACAAACAAACAAACAAAAGCTTACTTCTGGTCACTGTGCTGGAGGAAGGAGAGAGCTCTTAAAAGTCTTGAATTATCAAGTAAATAAGAAGGAGTTTATTTCCCTTTGGCTCACAAGTCACTGGCTGTAACTAGTCATGTGGTTCCACACAACCATAAGGGGGCCAGAAAAGGCAATCCTGTCCTGTGCCTGGAAATAGGGAGAACCAGAAATATTTGGCAGACAGCACTAACAACTATCACTATTGGTTTCAGATGGAAATGAACCCCACAGGATGTTCTTTCATTGATTCCAGGAGCCACAGACTCATGGCTTGATGTAGCCAAACTGGTGTCCATGAACTGTCTGCTTTTTAGGTGATTTTTCTTTCACCACATGATTTCCTAGAAGGAGGATTGTACTATGGTACTGAATGCTACACGGTGCACATTTAAAAAATTTAACTTCCATGATGGGTAGTAGATTTTAAATAACTTTAGTGCCACCTCTTACGAATTTCTGTAACATTTGAAAAGAAATCTAATTGTGTTATTTGTGGTTGTACATAAGATTATCAGAATTCTAAAGTCCCCCCTTAAAGCATTCAAAATTATTTAAACACTGGAGTATTTGGGCTATTTCTCTTTGGTGGGAAACCTCATTTTATATTTTATCCTAGTTGTGAGGCATGGGACCATTTTGTTTTGGCAAATGTCGATAGATCAAGAATTGTATTAAATCTAAAGACTCAGCATAGAATTGAATTGTTCAATTTGTTGGCCAAACCAGCTCACAAAGTAGAAAAATTAAGGCAAAAATAGACAGTAGAAAAAGGACACCTAGATAAGTATTTATTCTTTATGGTTTCTCGATTTTTAAAAGCTGCATTCTAGCTTTGGTGACAGTGTTTCTTCAACAAGGTAGATAGACAATGGTATAAAAAAGATTTGAGCTGATGCCAATATCGATCTCTGGTTTCTTCTCATAGTGGACCTAGTGATAACACCAACTGGTATGGCTAAGGTAACAGTTTCTATTGTAGTCCAATATGGTTCATTTCTTTTTATTACTGTGGTCAACTGTAAGTTATCTCCTTGTTGCTTTATGATCTTTATTGCTAAGTGTTAGTCTTTGCTTAAGTATTGCTTAAAGTGCATTTTGAATACTGGGCTTTCATTCATTAATTTTTTATGGTAGGCTTTGCTCCCTCCCAATGTGAATTGCCAATTCTGACTGTGGGTGTGTAACGCTGCAGATCTCTATGTTCCCAACCTGAACTCGATATTTCACCTCTTCCCCAGTAGCGGCTTGCTCTTGGAATTTATATCATATGTTCTGGGGGATTAATGTTCTTTCCAGTGCCTGTGGTAATAGGTGGTATTTAGATGCTCTTTTCCTGAGAAGATTTACTTCCGACTTGGAATGGATGTTGAAATCTGTTTATTTGCATAGAGCCACGATAGTTTCTTGTTTGGTACTATGGGGAACCATTAATATCCCGTGGCAACAGTGATTCCAGATGAAACTGTTTAATTGCTTATTGACCATTATAGTTTGTGTTACAAAAGCATTTTCAAATATATTATTCATTTTTATCACTGCCTCTGCTACTTAATAGCTATACTACATTGAAAGAATTATCAGGATTTCTCATTTCCAAAATCTATAAAATCATTCAGCCTCTCAAATTTAAAACAAAGCCTATACACTTTGCATGTGCTGAAAAGTAACGCACATGGCACTATGCATGAATGAATGCTTAATAAATGCATATTTTTGATGGTGAAGGTGATCATATTGGAGAAAACCATCATGCATGAACCAGTTTTCCACTTTGTATAGTGGTCTGCATTAATGAGCTTATGTACTGCAGGAAATTGAAGCTATCTGTGATCCCAGAGAAAAGCCACAGAATTATGGAAGGTGAGAATTGGAAAGGACAGAGATTTTTTTCAAACATATAAAAATATGAAACCCTTTCTCTGTGGAAATCCAGTATGTAAACAGATAAGAACTGACCTGTTGTGGCTAAAGTATGTGGTGGGAGTGGGGTCCTAGAGACCCAAGTATCCTTCCCTAAATTTGTACCCTAAATACACGGTGTACAATTTGAAAACCACTGATGCTCAGTCAGCTTTTGTAGATAGAAAACCTTAGCCTAAGGAAGGTATGTGACTTCCCCAGGGCCAAGACAGACCCGATATCATACCCAGGTCTTCTCAGCTGCCTAATTTTGTCCTTTTCCACTATACTATGTGGTCTCTTAGCAATCAGAGAGTGTTTTGTGTAAACAAGAAGAAAATGAACATTTTGTGTTATTATTATTGCAACTCAAAGAAAAATGTGAAAACAAAATCTTTTAGGATCATTAAATAAATACACATTTTTTTGTCCTGGGAAGTTATCTCAGTCATGAAAAAGAAGTAAGCTGGCTTCAGCAAAGTCCCCGTAAAAGCAAGGAGAGGGGAAGCGTTCTGTGCAATCAGCCTCAACCTTTTTGCTCACCCTGAAGTCCTGCTTACGTTGTTCTTCTGATTGCGTGTGACCCAGTGTGAAACTGGAATGGGAATTTGTCAGAACAAGTCGGTGGAGCTTTCCTGCTCAGAAAGAGCTTATCTCAGTTCTTGGGGGAAAGGAAAAAAAAGAAAATGAAAAATATAAAGCAAAACAACCAACACCCCCACTGTCACCATATCCAAAACATGAAACCCGAGGCTGTTAATGCATTTTAACAACTCCTCGTCTGGAGAAAATTACATGTATTCCGATTTACACACAAATCAATAGTTGTCTGCTGTGATTGAACTATGCACTAGAGAACTGTACTGTAATTACATTCATGCCAGGCATCAAGGACAAATCCCCTGGGTTTTGAGTAGGTGTGAGACAGGAAAAAATTACCAGCCCAGCCACAGAAGATTAAAAAAAAAAAAAAGTACCCACAAAGCTTTTCTTTCAGAACGGTGGGTTTAATTACATAGTCTTCATCTAACAAATAACAGTTCTCAAACCCTTGCTAAAATCATTGCATTTAAAATACATGTGTTTGCAGGGAGAGCAGGAAGGTTGAGGCTGATTGCACAGAACGCTCCCCCACTCCTCGCTTTTACAGGGACTTTGCTGAAGCCAGCTTGCTTCTGTTTCATGACTGAGATAACTTCCCAGTACAAAATCTTTATAAAACAGTTTTGTTCGTATCTCCGTGGATTCTCAGTTGTTTTACCTCTTCCTAATGGGAGTAGATTTTTCTCCTGTTTCTTAAAATAAACGATTTTAAAAGATTTTAATTTTATTTTTTTTTCTTCCATTGTGACATTTTGAAGTAGAACAGTACAGCTTGTGATTCTGAAATTGCAAATCACACCCCTGCCCTGAAGTGTTAAATTTCACATTGCAGTTTTCTGGAGAAGTTTTGGAACCACTGACTGAGGGTTGGACCAGGAATTTTTTCTTTACTATGTCATATAATACAAAAACTGCTCTGCTTACTCCAACACCCGGCCTACTATGTGCCAGGTGCCATGATTGATTCTCTGAATACATAGATTAATAAGATATAGTCTAGTTTTTGAGAGGCTCTTGGTCTACTAAGGGATTTGGGCAATAATTAACCATATTAATTATTACTGTGTTCTTTTCACACAAATAGGCTGTCCCCTCCCTCCTTCTCTGGCAGACACAGAATCCTTGTTTCCTCCCTTGCTGTTGCTGGGAATTTCTCTACCACTCTCACTGTTGTCAGACCCTACCATTGTAGGCACCAAGGACACTTGGGATCCTGTGAGGGGACAGTGAATGTCACCTGGGGTGGAGGTTGGTGTGAAAGGAAAATAAAAACTCAGGACCCCATTCACTATGCCAAAAGGAAAAAATTAAGCTGAAAGCTGAGTCACTCCAGAAACTGCTTTTCCTTTTGTTCCTAAGCAGATAGCTACAGATAAAAGGTTAAATATCACCACAGGTAGCTACTCTGTGTTCATCTTATCTTGAGATGAATACATAATTGACTATTACCAAACCTGCTCCTTTTCTCTTGCAACATGTGGGTTACCACACCCTCCCTTTTTCCCTTTAAATATGGAAGCCCTTAAAATCATCTTTGGAGAAAGGCACAGACCATGCACTGTTTCGGTGATTCTGTGTTCTATTCTCTTGGGCATGTCGTCCTTATCCTGGGAAAAATAAACTTCTAAGCTCATTGAGACCTATCTAAATACTTTTTGGCTCACAGCAGGCTCCCCACTTGCTCTGTCCAGTGAGTTGAGAGTTGGGACATGCTCACATGTGTGTAAAGTTTTAAGATGTGAGTAGTAAGTACATTTTAACTTAGCTTTCTGAGCTGTGTATGAAAACCATGAAGAGTATTTTCTATGAGGGAAATATTTATTTTTTCTTTTTTCTTTTATTATTATTATTATTTCAATAGTTTTGGGGGAACAGGTGGTATTTTGTTACATGGATGAGTTCTTTAGGTGTGATTTCTGAGATTTTGGGGCTCCCATCACCCGAACAGTGTACACTGCACCCAATGTGCAGTCTTTTATCTCTCAACCCCCCTTCCACCTGTCCCCACAAGACACCAGAGTTTATTATATCATTCTTATGCCTTTGCTTCCTCATAGCTTAGCTCGCACTTATCAGTGAGAACATACAATGTCTGATTTTCCATTCCTGAGTTACTTCACTTAGAATAATGTTCTCCAACTCCATCCAGGTTGCTGCAAATGACATTATTTTGTTCCTTTTTATGACCGAGTAGTATTCCATAGTATATATATATGTACCACTTTTCCTTAATCCACTTTTTGGTTGATGGGCATTTAGGCTGGTTCCATATTTTTGCAATCATGAATTGTGCTGCTATAAACAAGACTGTGTAAGTATCTTTTTCATATAATGACTTCTTTTCCTCTGGGTAGGTACCCAGGAGTGGGATTGCTGGATCAAATGGTAGTTCTACTTTTAGTTTTTTAAGGAATCTCCATACTGTTTGCCATAGTGGTTGTACATTCCCATAGCAGTATAAACGTATTCCCATTTTACTACATTCCCACCAACATCTATTTTTTTTTATTTTCAAATTATGGCCATTCTTACAGGAGTAAGGTGGTATGGTATTGTAGTTTTAATTTGCATTTCCCTGATAATTAGTGATGTTGAACATTTTTTTCATCTGTTTGTTGGCCATTTGTATATCTTCTTTTGAGAATTGTCTATTCATGTCCTTGGCCCACTCTTGATGAGATGATTTATTTTTTTTTTTCTTGCTGATTTGTTTGAGTTTCTTGTAGATTCTTGATACTAGTCCTTTGTTGGATGCATAGTTTGCAAATATTTTCTCCCGCTCTGTGGGTTCTCTGTTTACTTGGCTGATTATTTCTTTTGCTGTGCAGAAGCTTTTTAGTTTAATTAAGTCCCATCTATTTATCTTTGTTTTTGTTGCATTTGCTTTTGGGTTCTTGGCCATGAACTTTGCTGAGGTCAATGTCTAGAAGAGTTTTTCTGATATTATCTTCTAGAATTTTTATGGTTTCAGGTCTTAGATTTAAGTCTTTGATCCATCTTGAGTTTATTTTTGTATAAGGTGAGAGATGAGGATCCAGTTTCATTCTTCTACATGGAGCTTGCCAATTATCCCAGCACCATTTGTTGAATAGGGTGACCTCTCCCCTACTTTATGTTTTTGTTTGCTTTGTGGAAGATCAGTTGGCTGTATGTATATGGCTTTATTTCTGGGTTCTTCATTCTGTTCCATTGGTCTATGTGCCTGTTTTTGTACCAGTATCATGCTGTTTGGGTAACCATAACCTTGGAGTATAACTTGAAGTCAGGTAATGTGATGCCGCTAGATTTCTTTTTGCTTTGTCTTGCTGTGGCTATGTGGGCTTTCTTTTTCCATATGAATTTTAGGAATTTTTTTTCTCTTTCTGTGAAGAATGATGATGGTATTTTGAGGGGTATTGCATTGAATTTATAGATTGATTTTGGCAGTATGGCCATTTTCACAATATTGATTCTACCCATCCATGAACATGGGATGTGTTTCCATTTGTTTGTGTTGTCTATGATTTCTTTCAGCAGTGTTTTGTAGTTTTCCTCATAGAGATCTTTGACCTCTTTGGATAGGTGTATTCCTAATTATTTTAATTTTTTTGCAGCTGTTGTAAAAGTGGTTGAGTTCTTGATTTGATTCTCAGCTTGGTCACTGTTGGTGTATAGCAGTGCCATTAATTTTTGTACATTGATTTTGTATGCTGAAACTTTACTGAATTCGTTGTTCAGATCTAGGAGCTTTTTGGACGAGTCTTGAGGGTTTTCTAGGTATACCATTATATCATCAGCAAACAGCAACAGTTTGACTTCCTCTTTACCAATTTGGATGCCTTTTATTTCCTTCACTTGTCTGATTGCCCTGGCTAGGACTATGAGGAAGAAATTTAACAGAAGATTAAAACAGATAGGAGTTTGATTATATGGGTTTAGTCTTCTCAGAATTGGGTTTAGCTTTCATTAGCATATAAGGCAAATGTTGAGTCCCAGCTGAATGTGGTTAGAAGCTGTTTTGTTTGTCCCACAGAATATGGCAGTGTTGCTATTTAAAAATTTGAGTAAGAGCTGGCTAGGCGTGGTAGATCACACCTGTAATCCCAGCACTTTGGGGGGCCGAGGCAAGTAGATCACCTGAGGTTCGGAGTTCAAGATCAGTCTGGCCAACATGGTGAAACCCTGTCTCCAATAATAATACAGAAAAATTAGCAGGGCATGGTGGTGCACACCTGTAATCCCAGCTACTCAGGAGGCTGAGGCAGGAGAGTTGCTTGATCCTGGGAGGTGGAGGTTGCAGTGAGCTGAGATCACACCATTGTACTCCAGCCTGGGCAATGAGAGAGAAACTCCATCTTAAAAAAAAAAAAAAAAATTGAATAAGAGGACAACTTTTTACATTTGAGGAATTTCACATGAAATCTAAAGTCTGGCTTTTCTTGAAAAATCAGAAGATCTGGTTATGTACATAACACATGTCAGCTGGTAGCAGTTGCCTGGTATAAGGACTATACTGTTTCCATTTTACTACCAGGGCCTCAGTGATTTTTGTTATTTGAATGATACCCAAAGACTTTTCAGATTCACCTTTGTAGGCTGGTGGTAGGTTCCATTCTAGTCAATATTCAGTGGAGAAATTGTTGCTCCTTGAGCTGATTTGCTCTGAAAAGTTTCTACTGTCCTCAGGCACATGTAGTTCTGATTGGGTGCTCATTATTTCTGCATAAAGCTGCTGTGGTTTTTTCCAGCTGATATAGAGCATCCAGAGCCATCTAGACAAATCATATGTGAGCCAAAGCACCATCCGTCTCCCACCCAACTCCCCTTGCCACAGTTACTCTTCTATTTTCATGGTCTGAAATGTCCACTAGGAAAAGAATAGTATGTTTGGGCTGGGCATGGTGTCTCATGCCTGTAATCTCAGTACTTTGGGAGGCTGAGGTAGGAGAATTGCTTGAGGCCAGGAGTTCAAGACCAGCCTGAGTAACATAGCAAGACCTCATCTTAAAAAAAAAAAAAAAAAAAGAAAAAAGAAAATTACAAATATAGAAAGAATAGCATGTGTGGCAAGGTGCAAATTTAATAGCAGAAGACATCATCCCTGGTGTTATGGTGAAGGTAGCTGGAAGCTCTTTCATATTTTTTTTTTGAGAATTAATATTTGTTGAGCCCATACTTGGTGCTAGACCCTGAAGACAGAGTCATGAATAAAAGGGATAAAATATCTGCCCTTCTGCTTTTTGCATTCTAGAAAGGGAGACAGGTGATTAAATAGCATTATGTCAGATTACACTAAGTATGTAGGGGATTAGGTATAGTGTTGAAGGGGGTAGGAGGATAAGGCAGGATTGAGGAAAGGACATATCAGGAGTGGGGAGCTGCAATTTTAGATAAAATTGCCAGGGAACTTGGTTCAGATGTCTTACTCAAATGCCCCTTTCTGAGTAAGACTGGAAAAAAAGTGAGGGAAACTTCCATGCAGATATTGTAGGGAAGAGAGTGCCGAGAGCAAAGTACAAAGTCCCAAAGAAGGAGCAGATCTGGTGGTTGGAGGCTAGAAAGTTCACGGGAGTCCTTGTTGTCCACAAAAAGAGTCAATCTCTGTAAAATGTTTGAAGAGATTCATTCCAAGCCAATGAGGACCAATGGCCTGTGACAAAGGCCCAGGAGATCCCAAGAATATATGCTCAGGGTTGTCAGGCCACAGCTTGGTTTTATACATTTTAGGGAGACATACAACATCAATCAATACATGTAAGATGTACATCGGTTCAGTACGGAAAGGCAGGACAACTGAAGTGGTGGGGCAGGGAGTAGTTCCAGGTCATAGGGGGATTCAAAGATTTTCTGATGGGCAAATGATTGAAATAATTTTTATCTAAAGACCTGGAATTCATAGATGGGAGTCTCTGGGTTAAGATAAGGGGTTATAATCCCAAGGTTCTTATTATGCAGATGAAGCCTCCAGGTAGGCTTCAGAGAAAATAAAATTGTAAATGTTTCTTATCAGACTTAAAAAGATGCCAGACTCTTAGCTAATTCTCTCCTGGATCAGGGAAAAGACCTGGAAGGGGAAAAGGATTCTCTACAGAATGTAGATTTTCCCCACAAGAGACAGCTTTGCAGGGCCGTTTCAAAATATATCAAATAAACACATTTTAGGGTAAAATACTTTGATTTCTTTCAGGGCCTGCTATGTGTCCTGTGATGCTATATTAGAGGCAGGCCAGAATTTGGCGTCTTATTGCTACAAAAAGTCTTAAGTTCTCTGTTTTAATGTTAATAATATAATGGTCAGTTGTACCTGAATTCCAAAGGGAGGAGGGCATAATGAGGCATGCCCAGCCCTCACTTCCCATGGAGGCCTGAACTAGTTTTTCAGATTAACTTTGGAATGCCCTTGGCCAAGAGGAGGGGGTCCATTCAAATGGTTTGGGGGGCTTAAAATTTTATTTTTATTTTACGTTGTCATCATAGTCTGGATTTCTGCTTTTGTTCCAAGTAGCTGGGCAGCCACGGTGGGTGGGGGCAGTGGAGGAAGACATCTTCTAATGTAGGCTGCTCAGCAGGCTCACTATGTCTGCTATGCTGAGAATAGACTGAAGCAGTGGGAGTGGGAGGAGGGAGGGCAGTCGTCAGGGGCTGCAGTGATTCAGGTGAGGGATGGCAGCCAGTAGGACTAAGCTGGCAGCACATTTGGAGTATATTTAGAGAGTAGAGCTGATGGGCTTTGTTAGTGGGCTGAATGTGAAGTGTGAGACGAAGAAGGGAGTCAAGGATGACCCCAAGGTTTTGACCCAAACAATTGAAAGAATGGTGTCGCCATTAACTGAGTTGGGGAAGACTGCAGGAGGAGCAGGTTGGGAAGGGGTGAATATCAGGAAAGTTTTTTTTTTTTTTTTGATATGTTAAATTTGAGATACTTATTATTATTATTATTTATTTTTTTTCTGTCCTCACAATCTGTTCCCATGAGATGCTTATTAGATATTCAAGTGGATGTTGAGAAGGCAGTACATCCTGGTTACTTCAATTAAGGTATTTGCCTGTATAAATGTACTATAGAAATTCTAAATAATAATTAAGTGTAACCTTATTCTCATGCAATTAGGGAAAGATATGGTAAAAAAAAAAAAGATCTTTTCAACATTCAGAAAACTTGCAAGGGGCCAATGTTGATAACTTTCAATTTAACACTAGATTCTTCTATTGTTAATGAAAAATGTAAAAATCATCATAAAAACTAAATAGTCATTAGAAATCAACTTGGGCTGAGAGCTGGGAGAATAATTTTTTACTTCAATAGACTTTAAATAAATATTTAATGCTGATAATAGAGACACACAGAAAGTCAGTGGGAAATTTGCATGACTCACAAAGTAGGCATGGAGGGCTTTTTAATCAAATTAAGTCCTTTTACAATAAAAGTTCTTTGAATTTTCCTATGACTTTTTGAAATGAAAGGATTTCTTAGAAATAACCTCATTAAGCTGTAGTGAGACTAGCCAGGACGCATAATATTATTTCTAATTTATAGATCTGGCTGGGGAGGAAGAGAGGATTCACAATAGAGTTGCTATGTTTCTGGCGACTCAATGGCTAAACAAGGTTTAGAAACTGCATTTTTTCATTTCAGATAAGTTACTTTCTAGCTTAACTAAATTGTTTTCTTTCTTTTCTCTTCTGAAATAAACAGAAAAATGCCTTGTTTTGTTTCTTTTAATGTCTCCTACCCCTTTAGCTCTAAAGGGTCATATGCAAAATATTTTCACATTAAAGGAAAGATTTGAGCTCTGTTTGAGTATAACTTAGTTTTCAGTCTCTAAGTTTCAAATTGTGGACAGACTTATGCATTCTCCCCTCAAAATGTGTGTGAAGGACAGTTCCTTCCTCTAAAGATTCAAATAGCAGGCTGGGCATGGTGGCTCATGCCTGTAATCCCAGCACTTTGGGAGGCCGAGGCGGGTAGATCACCTGAGGTCAGGAGTTCGAGACCAGCCTGGCCAACATGGTGAAACCCCGTCTCTACTAAAAATACAAAAATTAGGCTGGCATGGTGGTGCACACCTGTAGTCCCAGCTACTCAGGGGGCTGAGAAAGGAGAATCACTTGAACCCAGGAGGCGGAGTTTGTGGTGAGCCGAGATCGTGCCCTTGTACTCCAGCCTGGGTGACAGTGAAACTCTATGTCAAAAAAAAAAAAAAAAAAAAAAAAAATTCAGATAGCTAAATTGAGTCTATTCCTGTTGTCAACTTATGGCAAGAATATCATACTATTTTTAATATTGATATAATATAAAGTGTGGCCAGAGATGTAATTAGTTTGTGCCCAATTTTCAGTATTATGTATATCTGAATGCAAGAGATTAATTGTTAACAACGAATGTTACAACGAATGGGCACAAACATTCATTGTTGACTGAATCTCTTGTTAAACAGAAAACTCCAGTTAGAGAGGCAATGGCCTTTGATAGAGGTAAGGCCAATATATTCTAAAAATATATCAAAATTCTTTGGTTCCATGGTGGAGAATGTGGCTGTAAGTAACCCCTGTGCCACATCCTTCTATTTACCTGATCCCAGAGACAAAAAAATCTTCCTTGCTTGCTCTAGTTAGAACAATCCAAGGGAGGGCAAGGACTTTTATTGGCTAAGTTTGTGTCACACGCCCACTTCTTGGACCAATCACTATCACAGGGGCCACGGGATGCTGTGATTCGTTGGATCTGGCTACTGTGCCTGGAGGGTGGCAACTGTAATTAAAGATACTGCAGACTCCCACAGAGTAGGTAGTGTGAGAAGAGCCATTTCTCAAAGGAAAGACGAGTGAGGCTGTTAAGGGAAGGGAGGCTGAGAGGCCCATAGTAATTGATGTTTGCTAATAAGTGACCAGAGTCAGTGCACCTAGAGGGGGAGTCAGAGATGGCTTCCTGAAGGAGGTGTTACTCAAACTGAAGAGTTTTTTTTTTTTTCTTGTTTGTTGAGATGAAGTCTCACTCTGTCTCCCAGGCTGGAGTGCAGTGGCGTGATCTTGGCTCACTGCAACCTCCACCTCCTGGGTTCAAGCGATTCTCCTGCCTCAGCCTCCCTAATAGCTGGGACTACAGGTGCACACCACCACGCCCAGCTAATTTTTTGCAGTTTTAATAGAGATGGGGTTTCACCATGTTGGCCAGGCTGGTTTTGAACTCCTGATCTCAAGTGACCAACCCACCTGGGCCTCCCAAAGTGCTAGGATTGCAGGTGTGAGCCACCGTGCCTGGCCACACTGAGGAGTTTTAGAAATATGTGCTAAGCATTGAAGAAAGAGTAGGCATTCTCCAGGTGTTTATGTGTATATTTGTATGCAGACACAGAAGAGGTTAGGGTGGACCAGGCAAAGGGAACAGCGTATATAAAAATATAAAGGTGGGTGAAAAGAAAGTGGCCTTTTTAGAGAACTAAGAGGTTTGGTATGGCTGGAACAGAAGGTAAGATGATCAGGTAGCAAGAAATGGAGAGCTTTGATACCTTGGGATGGGAAATCACCTGTTGAATTTAAATCAGTGAATATTTATGGAATGGAGTACTTCTCAGTGCCAGTGCTCTTCTATTCATTCACATGTATTAGCTCGTTTAATCCTCACACCAACTCTATGGAATAAGGAAGAGAGAGTTAAAAATATTTACCAACTGGCGTGGACTGGTCCTCATTGGCAGCCATCCTAGCAGGAGGGATGCCAGCTGTGAAGCACTGCTACCCACCACTGTCACTGTGTGTATCGGCAACTGCTGGCCCTGGATGTGGGCACTCTCATGATTCTTCTTTTGCAAATGAGAAAGCTAAAGCACAGGCTTGTTAACTTGACCAAGCATGCATGGTCTAATGGAAGAACTGGGCTTCAAACCAAAGGCATCTGGCTCCAGACCTCATGTCTTGCAAGGAGTGAATATGAAATTCATTTGTTAGAAAAAGAACATGAGAGAGTGTAAGTTTCAGGAAGACAGGGACTGTGTCTGCTTTTGTTTCTCATTATCTCCCAGCACTGTTCCTGACACATAATAGACACCCAAAAATATTTATTGAATATTATTTACCAATGATAGAAAGCTCACTGCAAGAAAGAAAGTTCTGAGAAGGGCGGCCAGGCACAGTGGCTCACGCCTGTAATCCCAGTACTTTGGGAGGCTGAGGCAGGTGGATCACCTGAGGTCAGGAGTTCGAGACCAGCCTGACCAACATGGAGAAACCCCATCTCTACTAAAAATACAAAATTAGCCGGGCATGGTGGTGAGCTGTAATCCCAGCTACTCGGGAGGCTGAGGCGGGAGAATCGCTTGAACTGGGGAGGTGGAGGTTGCGGACAGCTGAGATCGTGCCATTGCATTCCAGCCTAGGTAACAAGAGAGAAACTCCGTCTCAAAAAAAAAAAAAAGTTCTGAGAAGGGCAAATAAAGCTAAGGCATTAGCCCAGATGAGAAAATAATAAAGCCTTGAAGAAACAATATCACGTGTACACCAATTGGAAGATATTAAAGGGGTATTAATATTGCAGAATTTAGTTGCTGGATGTGGGGGTGAGCCCCAGGTTTCTATTCTGAACAACCAGGTGGGTGATATTGCCATTCACTGGGATAGGAAATATAAAAAGAATAGGTTGTTAATGGTGGTTAAGGTGAAGGTGCTAAGAGCTCCTTTTTCAGATGTGGAGTTTGAGTGTTTATAGCTGCCTAGGAGGCAATTGTATCTGGAATTCAGAGACAGACCAGCACTGGTGATGTAGATCAATAAAAAATTAGGATATGGGTGAAGATTTAAAGGCATGGGGGTGGATAAGATCATCCAAAAAGTGTAGGCAATTGACCCTTGAACAACATGGGTTTGAACTGCCGGTTCACTTACATGTGGATTTTTTACATATAAGTAAAAAGTAGAAAATACAGTATTCAAGGGATGTGAAACCCACTTATATGGAGGGCCTACGTTTCCTATTTGAGGGTTCCTGCAGGGCCAACTGTGGGACTTAAGTAGTTGCAGATTCTGGTACAGGGTGGGGAATGGGTGGCCGTGGGGTGGTGGCTGGGAGGAAGAGTGAGGAGGGTGGTTCTGGAACTAATTCCCCACATATCCACTGTGTAGACAGAAGGGGCTGGAGGATGGACCCCTGGGGCCAGTGAAAGAAGAAGAATCCCAAACAGAGAATGAGAATGAATGTCTAGAGATAGAAGAGGAGAAACCAGAGAGTGTGTTGTCAGTGAAGCTGAAATTTGTAGGGGCATCAGCATGTGCGGTTTTCTGATTTTCTCCAACAGCACTGAGCACTCTGGATCTAAACGTGGAAAAGGTAGACAGGCAGTGGGATTGATTCAGAGTTTGGGTTTTGGTGGGCAAAAGTGGCTGACTATAGGCAAGGGAGTTGCAAATATTAAGAGACACTGAGTGTTGGATCTGAGGCCAAGGCAGGTAGGGCAGGAAGTGAGTACGGGAGGAGTTTAAGTTGGTCCAAGATGGGAGGTCAAAGGGAGGGTGTGGTGGATTTAAAGGACCCAGGGAGCTGAAGGGATAGGAAGTCGTGGTCAGAGTTGGGTAGAGGAGTGCTAAATTTCAGATCCAGGTGGTAACAAGGTCCAAAGGTGTGGTCATGGGTCATGGGTGTGAGGGGCTGAAGTGCAAGGGAAGTGTATTAGGGTTATCCAGAGAAACAGAACGAATATGGTGTGTGTTTGTGTGTGTGTGTATATCTGTGTGTGTGTGTGTGGATCTATCTGGACAGAGAGAGAGAGAGAGAGACCCAGAGAGAGAGGGAAATGGAAATTGGTTGTCTGATTATAAGGAATTGGCTCATGCATTTATAGAGGTAGGAAACTCCCAAGATCTGTAAGATCAGGCAGCAAGTTGGAGACCCAGGAGAGCTGATGGTGTAGTTCAAGTCTGAAGACCAGCAGCCTTGAGACCCAGGAAGAGCCAATATTTCAGTTTGAGTCTGAAAGCAGGAGACTTCTCTTTTACTAGGAGGAAAGTTTGCCTTTTTGTTCTATTCAAGCCTTCAGAGGATTGGATGAGGCCAACACACATTAGGGAGGGAAAACTGCTTTACTCGGTCTACTGATTTAAATGTTAATCTCATCTAAAAATACTCTAACCGAAATACCCAGAATAATCGTTGATGAAATATCTAGGCACCTTGAGACTCAGTCAAGTTGACAGATGAAAGTAACCATGCCTGGAAATAACTTATTTACTCCAGTTTCTGTACTTGCTTTGGTCTTTTTGTCCTTGGCTTTCTAGATCCAGGTTCCCACTTTACCTCCTGCCTTTGTCTATGGACTACAGAAACCTAGTCTGCCCATTAGAATTGTGCTGGGAAGCTTCTGTGCAGATTGAAGTTGAGACATCAGAGCTGGGTCTGAGTCGTGACCCAACTCTATGAGGAATGCTTATTGGTCTGCTATTACAAGGGACATCTAGAAGCATTGCTACTTGTAATTGTTTCACCTGTGCCCAATACACAATTCCCATAGGAAAATCAGGGCTACACTAGTTCCTCAGAGCAGTTAAGGACCAAAGAAAAAATTGCAGGTACATTACTTTGTGTCACCTGTGATATTTTATAACATATATATAACAAATATATATTTATATATGGATGAAAACATATATGTTTATATATAAATGAAAACATTATATATATGAATGAAAACATATATGGTTTATATATATGAATGAAAACATATATATGGTTTATATATATGAATGTCATGGTTTCCTGGCTTATAGCTTCCATTAGCCCTTTTATAGTCCTTTGTTATAATGATGGGGCACTTTAGGTCTCAGGTGCAGGCCGCAGGAAACAGAATCACTCTCTGACCTTCTCCTTCCACTTGCCCAAGGCAGGACTCAATCTACTTGTGGGTCATAAGAACTTATATTCCAGAGAGGGTCCTGACTCATACCCTAGAGGAAGGAAGCCTGCACAGAGAGGCCAAGAAGAATCTGAACAGACGGGCCTCGCTGGGTTTAGATCACATCTTTTTTGTCCAATCACATTTCTACATGGTTTTCTATGTTTCAATCATGCCTATCCAGTGGAGTCTGCATAAAAGGCTCAGGAGGACTGGATTTGGGGAGCTTCCTGATAGCTGATCATGAGGAGGTTCCTGGTGTACCTTGAGGAGCTCTGTGCCCCTTCCTCCATACCTCACTCCCTTTATCTCTTCATCTGTATCTTTTGTGATATCCTCTATAGTAAACCAGTAAACATGTTTCCCTGAATTCTGTGAGCCATCCCATGAAATTAATTGAGCCCAAAGAGGTGGGTCATGGAAACCCCAACTTAAAGCTGGTCAGTCAAATTTCTGAGGGCCTGGGCTTGTGGCTGGTGGCTGAAGCAGGGGCCAGTTTTCATGATTGAGCCCTCTACTTGTGGGATCTGACGCTGTCTGCAAGCAGATAAAGCCGGAATCGAATTGGAGGACACCGAGCTGTTGTCTGCTGCAGAATGGATTCCTTGTTTGCTAGTGGGGAGAAATCTTCACATGTTTTGGGGTCACAGAAGTCTTCTGTGTTGATTGTTATGCTGTCGACGTGAGAGCAGGGGAAAAACGTGGTTTGAGTTCCTGAACACCACCCCTTGGGCAAGCTTGATGGAACAGATAACAGATGCTATTGGCTGTATCTACGTGCACACTGAATTGCCCTCCTGAAGGCTGGGGACTGTTGAACACATTTCACCTGTTGGAGGCTACCGGAGAGTAGATTATGATTAGGCCTCTTGCTTTCTGAGCAGAGCAGTGTTATTGGAAATAATGGGAATTCTATTTAGCTGGATGCTTTGGATTAGTAGGTGAATCATGGGTAAAAGATCTGCCTTTATTTAGTGATTCTCATGGTTTCAAAATGTATTAAGAGTAGTAAGTAAGATACCTATATTCAGGAGCTAATAATATTTGTAAAAAGTACCTATTCTGAGCCTCCAGTGATTTGTTTTATAGATGTGACCCTTAAGAGAAAATTTTAAAAATTGGACAATTTTTTTGTGGGAGGGGAATAGGCCTTGGGAGAGACACATAGTATTCTGGATCTGGAACTGATTTTCTTTCCTCCTTTTGATTCAAATTGGTTGTATTCCCAGCCACACCTACCACTTTGGGACCATCTCCTTTCCTGTCTGAACTGCATAGAAGTGGAAATCCTACTTGTATGCCAGACTCCCTTAACCCCAAAAGAACTTTTAAAGGTGTTCACTGATTTTTCTCTGCTTCTTGACTCAGATGTTAAATGATTGGCTTAGATTTTTACCTTTTTATCTTTCTGGGATTAAATCCTGGCCCCTCTTTTATATAATGTGTCATCTGGGGAAAATTATTTGACTTCTATGGATGTCAGTTTTCTTATTTATAAAATGGTGATAATAATAGACTTTACCTCTTGGGTTAGTATGGAGATTTAAAAGATATATTCTGTATTAGTCAGAGATCTCCAGAGAAAGAGAACCAATAGGATATATATAGATATAAGAGGGAATTTATTAAGGGAATTGGATCATGTGATTATAGAGGCTGAGAAATCCTGATATGCTGTCTGCAAGCTGGAGAACCAGAGAAGCTGGTAGTGTAATTCTGTCTGAGTCCAAAGGCCTGGGAACAGGGGAGCCAACGGTGCAACTCTCAGTCCAAGGCTGAAGGCCTGAGAACCTGGAGTTCCGACGTCTGAGGGCAGGACAAGATGGCTATCCCCAACCCAGAAGAGAATGAATTGACTCTCCCTCTGGCTTTTTATCCAGAGGATGTGGGTGATCATCATCTAGTCGGTGCAGAGCCTGGATGGAAGTCTGCTGATTACTAAGTCTACTGATTCAAATGCTTATCTCTTCCAGAAGCACCGTCACAGACACACCCGGGAATAATGTTTTGCTCGCTACCTGGGTATTCCCAACCCAGTCTAGTGGATACCTAAAATTAACTGTCATATATTCCATATTGTTAGTGCAATGTTTGGTGAACAGCAAAATGTTCAACAGATGTTAGCTCTAATTTTTATTTTGTTATCCTATGCCTCAAATTCTTTCAGGTTGTCTTTATAAGTATACGACTGATTCATGTTTATTGACTCACTAACAATAGAGTATTTACCTAACTGTGAATCATGTTTTATTTCCTATAGGTGGCTATTTTATATTTGAAAATGGAAACAGGAAAATCTTGCCTTTTATAGTCAGCCTGAGTAATCTGACTTCAATTGAGTGCATGCATTTATGGGGGGGTAAGGTGATGGAAGGAATATTTGGACTATAAAGCTCAATTCCCAAATCCTATTTCTCAGCCTTCAACGGTGCAGGAAATCAGTCACTGCATTTCTGATACTGATGACCTCTTTGGTCCTGACTCATCTGAGATGATGCCATACAGAAACCATGGCTCTGGCAAATAGACATGTAATTTGTTTCTTGGACTTAGTAGTGTACAAATTGGGATATTCTCAGCACTAATCTCCCTAACAAGGACAATTCCTGGTTGCAAATTATTTAGTCTACATACAATTTGGGAACTTGGGAATGTTTAGATATTCAGCTGTTTCACAAGCCAGACTATTCAAGTTCAGAGAATTTCTGCTGAATCCTCTGATTTGATTCAGATTATATACAAGCTTAGGCAACTCTTTTGTGGAAGGTATTGAACAACAAGGCAATGAATCATATGGCTTAGTGAACTCTGCCTTAGGTTATTCAGTCATTCATCAAACATTCATTATACAACTACTCTGTGTCAGCCCTTGGTCTCAGTACTGAGGACACACACAAATGAATGTGCTACCCTGTCTGTTCTCTGGGGCCTCAAGGGTGGATAGTAACTTTGTAGGAAATATTCTGTGGAAAAGCAGGGAACAATTATCCATCCGTCCATTCTTCAATTCAACAAATATTTATGAAACATTTATGTGAGCCAGGCATCAAGTTAGGTATAGGTGATTCAGCAATAGACAATACAGATGCTCCCTGTCCTCCTAGACTTATTATAACTCATGGTAGAGATAAACAATCAAATAATTAAACATAAATTTATAGTACCTTGGGATAAATGCAAGATAAGTGAACCATTTACAGTACATTGTGATATAGGGAATATAGTAATGAAGGCTAAATGCTCAATTTAGAAGTGATTTCTCTCTCTGCCTCACCTGAGGAAAGATCTGAAGCTTTGAGCGGAACAGTTCCATTTGAAAGTGGTCATATAAGAGGACTGTATCTTTAGAAGTTTCTTTGGTTATACAGGCTCGTACAAAAGCAATTACGAGCAGAGACTGGAACAATACTAGAAATATAGTTGATGACTTAAATGGAAGAAAACCTGTGTATTAGGCATTGGACTTTGAGTAATTGTAGACATAAAAACTCAAAGTTCTTTACAATGAGCATATTAGCACTGACAACAGGAAACAGCCAAAAAAGACCTTCATGGATGAAAACTATAAAATAAGATGCAGATTTGGACTCAGATAAGGACAGAGTTTCTCTCCCAAGTGGTCCTGGTTAAGGGCTTTACCAATGTTCTAGAGAGGAGGACATTTAAACCTGTGATTATTTATATTTTACCATACGTATTTTTGCTTACAATAAGTAAGGTATATGGATTCAATTCATTTATCATAGGAGGTTGTATTTCCTTATATATTGTCTCATTTTTCTCATCAGGTCCTGTGTTAAAAAAAAGTTTTCTCTTACTGTTGAGAAGTACCTGAATCAAATAGAACAAACCAACACTACTGTCCTAGTACCCTAAGCAGGTAGCTGGCTAAAAAGCTCTCACTAATTTTTGGTACAAGGCCTCGAATACTGAGAGTGTCTACAAAGTCAGAAGTTCTCAAGTCTATTTGTATATCAGGAACACCCAAGGAGCTTTAAAAAATAGAGATAACCAGACCCATCCTGCGAAATTGTGTTGTAATAGGTCTGGGGGAAATAACTGGGAATATATTTTTAAAAAGACTTCTTGGCCGGGCACGGTGGCTCACGCTGTAATCCCAGCACTTTGGGAGGCCGAGGTGGGTGAATCACAAGGTCAGGAGTTTGACACCAGCCTGGCCAATATGGTGAAACCCCGTCTCTGCTAAAGGTACAAAAATTAGCCGGGCATGGTGGTGGGCACCTGTAGTCCCAGCTACTTGGAAGGCTGAGGCAGGAGAATCGCTTGAACCCAGGAGGCAGAGGTTGCAGTGAGCTGAGATTACATCACTGCACTCCGGCCTGGGTGACAGAGACTCCACCTCAAAAAACAAAAAAAAACCCAAAAACAAAAAAAGACTTCTCAGATGATTCTGATGTACCTAGTCTGCATGGATTGCTGTTTCAGAACCTCTGTACTAGGTTAACAGTATGATTTTTATTTATTCCCACTTTTAGATGGGTTACTCATATTAAAACTTAAAAATATAATTTTTATCAATGGCAATTAAAAAATCTTTTTTTTTCTTTGAGACAGAGTCTCTCGCTCTGTTGCCCAGGCCGGAGTGCAGTGGCTCAATCTTGGGTCACTGCAAACTCTGCCTCCTAGGTTCAAGTGATTCTTGTGCCTCAGCCTCCTGACTAGCTGGGACTACAGGCAGGCACCACCATGCCTGGCTAATTTTTGTATTTTTAGTAGAGACGGGGTTTCACCATATTGGCCAGGGTGTTCTCGAATGCCTGACCTTGTGATCCACCTGCCTTGGCGTCCCAAAGTGCTGGGATTACAGGTGTAAGCCACCACGCCAGGCCAAAAAAAATTCTTAGTCCCTTTCTTTGTCCCACCCTCTTTTTATTCATCTCTTCCATGTTTTTCACAGAATTCTAAAATACATTGTGATTACCTTATCCAAACTCTGTTTTGAGATAAGAGGGGATAAATAGCTACCATTTAGAGAAGTCATTTTACTTATTATTACTATTTTTTGAGACAAGTCTCGCTCTGTCACCCAGGCTGGAGTTCATGGTATGATCTTGGCTCTCAGCAACCTCTGCCTCCCGGGTTCAAGGGAGTCTCCTGCCTCACACTCCCTAGTAGCTGGGATTACAGACATGTGCCTCCATGCCCGGCTAATTTTTTTTGCATTTTTAGTAGAGATGGGGTTTCTCCATGTTGGCCAGTCTGGTCTCAAACTCCTCAGGTGATTTGCGTGCCTCTGCCTCCCAAAGTGCTAGGATTACAGGTGTGAGCCACCACGACTGGCCAATCATGCACCTATTTAGCCCAGTAAATTTTCCTGGAAGAGTCTTGGTATGAGCTAACAATTCATAAATAGGACTGCTTTACGGTGAACTGCATGGCTGCAAGAGATGTAGGGCAGAGCTGTTGATAATCTGCTGAGATCCACACATGGCCCAGCTGGCTTTTTCAGACACTGCCTTCTTGCCTTTGGTATGCTGTTTCAGGGTGTTACACCCCAACCCATGACTCATGACTCAGTTTTTTGACTGGGCAGCCTTCTCATTGTGGTCCTTTGGCTTGGCATTTGGTTATGGCTCTCCTTCTAGGGCAGGGCACTCATCTAGGCCACACTCTGCCAACTTGGATTTAGCCTATCGGCCTCTTTGTCCCTTTCCTGGCTTCCTCATATTTCAGCTCCCTCCCTAGGTAAATGGCCTTGTGGAGTCACAGTACCTAACAAACTCTTTACCAGCATTTGATTGGCTTGATAGCCAAATAATTTCTTCTTTATTTTTAGCTGAGATCTCCTACAGATCAGCTGAGATTACATTTGTCCTAATGTAAACCATTATCCCCATCTCTGGTCCAGTATCCTCATAGGGCCAATTTTCCATTCCTTTAATCTTCCACTCATCTCTAACTTTCACTCTGTTTTATTAATTGAATTAATTAGTATAAAATACTTTGAACAGAACCTGACATAAACATATGCAGGTGGTATTATTATTTTCTTCACATCCTTTTAATAGTATTTTAATAACCTACTTCTGCATTAATGCCTTTTTAACACTGATTCAGTTTCAGATTAGACATTTATGAGTATTTGCTATGTACACAGGTACAGTGCTTGTTGGTTCATGAGTAGTATAGCATTTAATTCTCACAATGGGCTAATATTACACACAGATACATATACTTTTTGAAAACAGATGAAGGTACTAAGGCTCCCAGGGTATAAAGAAACTTACTCACGGTCACACAGACAGCAAGCGTGGACCCAGGATTGGAACCTGACTCCTTTGATGCCATGTCCCCAGTTTTTCAGTAGACCTTGGTGTCTCTCTTCCGTAAAGGATTGTTTAGAAAGGGTTGCTGTTTACAGATTGTAAGTAAAAGGACTAGTGCTATGGTTTTTAGACTTTTAAAAATATCATAAAACCTTTTATTTAAGTGAAATCTTGTGAAGAAGCCAAAATGTAAAACAGCTAATACAAAGCTGCTTGAAGCAGGTGAAGGGTGTCTGCAATTATCTCTATTACTTCCCTAATTCCCCACCCTATGGTCCCTCAAGGCCTGCTGAGGAACACAGTTCCACAACACTGAATTAGTGTAATCATGAATATGCATCCATTTAATTCAAATGGCTCTAAAAGGGCATGCCGTGAGAGACTACCATCCTTGCCTGGTCAGCCAGCACCAAATTCTTCTCCCTGGAAGCAATGAGACAGTGCTTCTGCATTCTTCTTATTTCTTATGTGTCTATAAGCAGAAGCATTTAGGTGTCCTCTTTAAAGAAACCTCTTTTTGGTGAACAAATTGATTTAATTTGCATTTATGATTTTCTTCACTTTCCTAAACATCCTTTGGAATCCCAAAGATCAAACCAACATTTTGTTAAGGTGATTTGAAAGGCGGGCCAAAAAAAAAAAAAAAAAGGCGGTGCCTATGCATGGGGTGACTAGCCAGCCCAGTTTGTCTGGGACACTGGATTTTCACTGCTAAAACTGTGTCAGCCCCAGGCAAACTGGGATGGTTTATCACAAACCCCTGAGGTCACAAAAATCGGCCTTTAAGGACCACTAACCAGGGTCCCACAAAACCACTACTCCCATGACCTGGGCCACTTGGTTCCTGGTCTTGTTGATCAGGTGAATTGCAGGTTGTTTTGAGTCTAGTTAACACTATTCCTTTACTCGTGGCCCTGAACTTGAAAATCAATATCAAAGGTAAGCCATTTCAAAGAGATTAAAAAACAACATCTTTTTGTGTTTAAGGCATAGTTAGGATATGGGCACTATCTTTCTCTTTTTCCCTCTTATTCTTTTTTTTTTTTTTTAAACAGGGTCTCACTCTGCAACCTCTGCCTCCTGGGCTCAAGCGATCCTCCCACCTCAGCCTCCCAAGTAGCTGGGACTACAGGCATGTACCACCACACCTGGTTAATTTTTGTATTTTTTGTAGAGATGGAGTTTTGCCATGTTGCCCAGGCTGGTCTCAAACTCCTGAGCTCATGCGATCCACCCACCTTGGCCTCCTAAAGTGCTGGGTCTTATTCTTAAGGTATTTTTAAGGCAAACTAATAAATAAAGATATTTTAAGGTTACCTGTAGATAAGTATTTTTTATTTTCTATGGATTTCATTTATCCTTTATCATTTTTTAGTATTGGGCATAAATGAGACTTAACCAAAAAAACAAAAAACAAACAAACAAAAAAAACCACACACACACACATGGAAACAAAAACACTCTCTTAGTTGCAAAATACAGTAAGCTATATTGCCTGGCAGTGTGATCACAGGGAAAAAACAGGCCAGGCACAGTGGCTCATACCTATAATCCCAACATTTTGGGAGGCTGAGGCGGAGGATAGCTTGAGGCCAGGAGTTTGAGACCAGCCTGGGCATCATAGCAAGACCTCATCTCTACAAAACAAAGATTTAAAAATTAGCCAGGCGTGGTGGTGTGCACCTGTAGTCCCAGCTGCTTGGGAGGCTGAGGTGGGAGGATCAATTAAGTGCAGGACTGAGCGAGATTCCGTCTCAAAAAAAAAAAAAAAGAAAAGAAAAAACAAAGGCCTTGAGCTGCTTACAGACTGTAAGACATTGGAAAGGCCCCTTAAACTCTCAGAGCCCAAGTTTCCTCATTGGCTCAGTGGAGATAATTACACCTAACAGGATTAGCATGAAATGTCAAAGTGCTTAGAAAATTTCATTTGCTCGATAAATGTTCGTTTTCTTTTCTACCTGGAATGGTCAGAGTTCTGTTTAATCAAATATTCTCATAATATAAAGTTAGCAATAAAGTATATTTACCATTAAAAATGAACCCAATAACATGCAGGCATAAAGGAACTTTCTGGGTGATAGAAATAGTCTATATTTTTATCTGGATGGTGGTAACATGGGTGTTTACATATGTAAATATTCATCAAGCTGTGTACTTAATAGTTATATATCTTACTGTATGTAAGTTATTCTTCACCTAAGAAAAGTACTTTGAACATAAAAGTCTTCTAAAATTGATTTATATACTTTTTTAAGGGTGAAGGGGGCTCATGGAACTCTATTGCTAATCTATTGCCCTACTTTTAGTAGGGCAGAAATACCATTTATTAGAGTGTTAGTGATTAAAATGTTAGCTAAGCCTGATATTATGATTCATACTATTATATATAGATATGTGTGTGGGTATATATATATATGTATATGTATATATAAATGTTTACAGAATGATGGGTTTCGCTGTGTTCTGTGTGCAATGGGGAGAAATGACACTCACTCCAGGTCTAAGTCAGTTGCATTTTGTATTCTCCATGGAATACGTGGCAAAATTGTGCTTTTTTTTGGTTTTGCTATTTGGCTTTCCAGGGAGCCTCAGCTAACCAAACTTTTGTGATAGCGTATTTATTATCTAATGTTTGAATTTGAGGAAAGGAGCCAGAGTCTGTACTCCATGTAGCAACGGCCTCATCAATGATTTTAGAAAATGGATTTGTAAAAAGGCTTTGGGCACTGGGCCTACACAGAACTCACTCATAGACCCCTGGTGATATCATTTAGCACAAAGCAATTGGCTTGAAAAAGAGAAAAACACTGGGATTTCGAAACTAATTTTTACATCATGCCATTTATTACAGTCTGTCTCTCTTTTTCTGGCATCCTGGGTTTAAGGAAATAATGTTATCATCTATTTCCAGAAATGGTTTGGATAACAACTTCTTGGAAACCCTTCACACACATTTGTATTTTGGTTTCTCTCCATTATTTCCCATTCAGACAGACTGGCCACAGGGGCACTGGAAGGCTCTCAGGCTCTGGAATACACCAGCACCCTACTTTCACATGCCCAGGACACATGTAGGATCATCTAAGAAGAACAGGGGGTAGTAAGAATGTGGAGGGGAATCTCTGGCCCAACTGTGGGAAAACATAGCTATTACCACCACCACCACCACCACCACCACCACCACCACCACCACCTCATGTGGAGAGGAGATTCAAGGGAGTGCCCAGGAACATTTCATGAGATACAATGTCTAAGTCCCTGGCTGATATTAGCAGGTTGTCTCAGAATGGTAGCTGGGCAGTAAGTCCAGAGAGCAAACATATTTCTTGGAGATACCCTCAGGAGAGTGGCCGTTCCTTCTCCCAGAGCAAAACATATCTCTCGGTATTACATCTTCTCGGAGATATGTTTCAGCCTGTTGAAAGGAGATTGATTATTCCTTATGGTAGAAAGTTTGCCAATGACTTTGTGATTACTGAAAATTTAAGCAAGGGGGAAAAATATAAGGAAAACAAAAAAGTTTATAAGAAAAGATATATAGTAACAGAAAACAACATGATGCAGCTGTGAATAAATGTCCTATCGTAATAATGTAATACTGAATATTGACTTAACTCAAAAAGTTATTTTGGGAGGATGAATGAAAAACCAAGTTGTATGCTTGTGTATGTGTGTATGTTGAATGATAAGAAAGCGAAGTCCTCATTTTTTATAGTAGACAGTCAATACATAACATCTAAATGGAAAAATCAAGAACTAGCAGTATCAGCATAATATTGAGAAATATGGAGTCAAGAAAGAGTTATGAGTATTGGAAGTAATTGCCCTCAGGATATAGGGATAGAATGTAACTGTGATCATTGAAATTAAGTTAAAAATTAACAAATTTCTCTTAAGTCATTTCAGCTAATTCAGTCATTAAAATTAAAGCCTTTCCTCAAGAAATTATAGTAAGCAGAAAAGTGCTTTTAGTGGGTTAGGCAGCCAGCAGGTAGGAATTTTCACTGAGAGTGGAAAATAGAGCCCAGAATTCTTTTACCAATAATTAAAACTGTTGATGCATAGGATTCTCACAAGGGACTCTGGTAAGAACAGGAAGGGCTGGAAAGAGACTTCAGCTGCACGTTCCTTTCCTTCCGGAGGCTGTTGAAACTTTGAATCTGCAAAAAAGTACTTGGCCAGCTTGAGAATATTAGTCAGGGTGCAAAATAGTGGCCAAAATATTTCATCTGTGGTTTTGGTTCATCAGCTGCTTCCATTAAACTATAGCCATGCCTTCCCTATTATAGAGTTTTCAGTAGTGGATTATAACTACCTCCACACATTTTCCTAAATTCCGGATTGTTGTAGTGATATCCCTGCCTATGCCTTTGGGCAATGCAGATTCATTCTTGCTCTATTCTATGACTTCCTCTTATCACAGGGCTAGTAGCCTGACTACATTTTCACAATTCTTTGCCAATAGTGGTCCCACGTAGATTCTGTCACTAGAAGGCACTTGTGAGAGATCTGGACCCAGAAGAGGAGCAAAATGATACACATTTTTTCCTCCAGCAGTAGAGGGTAGATGTAAAGGCTTTATGGGATGTGAGGTTTTGTAGCAATCTCTAGGTAACCCCCTGGAAATCATTTGCTGTGGTGCGGCAGGCAGCTGGAATCACTGGTGGTAGTGATTTGTGATTCATTCAGCTTCTTGATTCTCAGAAAACAGTGGCAAACTTGAGCACTAGTGATGGTTTCCCCTAAACCTTCGATTCATAAAGACCCGGGTTTGAATCTTGACTCTTATATTAACTATGCAACTCTGAGCTAGGTATTTTAATCTTCTATTAATTTTTTCAACTGTGCAATAAGGATAACACCATTATCATATAGGTTATGCGGAAAAAATATGATTATACATGTAAAAATACCCAGTGAAAGAGCTGTTCTCACAGTAGGCATTCGACAAATGGTAGCTATTGTTATTTATTTATTTATTTATTTATTTATTTATTTTGAGACAGAGTTTCACTCTTGTTGCCCAGGCTGGAGTACAATGGCTGGATCACAGCTCACCGCAACCTCTGCCTCCCAGGTTCAAGCGATTCTTCTGCCTCAGCCTCCCAAGTAGCTGGGATTACAGGCATGCACCACCATGTCGGGCTAATTTTTGTATTTTTAGTAGAGACTGGGTTTCTCCATGTTGGTCAGGCTGGTCTCCAACTCCCAACCTCAGGTGATTTGCCCACCTCTGTCTCCCAAAGTGCTGGGAATACAGGCGTGAGCCACCACACCCGGCTCTATTGTTATTTTTGTCCTTTGTTTGCCACCTGCTGCTGTTGTTATTTATGCTGTAGCTGCTGTGCAATTGCTAGGCAGGAAACCCATGTGCCGGGTGCTGGACTGAGCAGCTGGGATTACTCTCCCACTCTCTCTTCCATTGGCTTTTCCTTTTACAGCGGGGAAATGCCCACAACCTCCCTTCTGTCTACTTCAGAGCAGAAGCCTGAGTCTGCCAGACACCCAGACTTGTCTGGCTATAGGAAAGCAGGACTGATCAAATCAGCTGTGATCTTGGCACATGTGTTTTGGTTTTCTTGTGTTTTTACTAGTTTGCTTCTTTCAATAACCCAGGGGTAAAAATAGCCTTTTTCTCCAAGCAGCAAGATAACATTTGATGGAGATCTCTGGTTCTGCTTTTTTAGGGGCCAGTCACTCCTTCCTACTTCCTGAAGTTTCCATGCTTGAGCAGGTTCATTCTTATACCTCCGAGGGCTTTCACAACAAACTTCGTTGCAAGGCAAAACCCCATCTAGGCAAAGTTGTAGAGTTTGGGTATTTTGGGGCTTGGGTATTTCTTTCCTAGCCCCCCTTTTATATGTGAAACACAAATGTTCCAGCTGATAAGCCCTGTAAGTGATTTTTCCCCTCATTGATTTAAAAAATTGTACCCTGTCTCTATATGGCACATGGTCAAGCACTTTAAAGTATATAATTAATTAAAGCATTTACTGAAACTGACATGCAGGCAAAATAAATGCAAATGAAGTAGGGAATCTATAGAAATAGCCCAGGAACAGCCATCTCTGCATAGACTGACTGATAGGATACCCTGAATGCTAAGTAACTGGGGTCCTTGTAGATCAGGGAGGTAGCGAGTCCAGACATGGAGGTTGCCACACTTAGTATGCAGTTTCTGGTTTCTTCTTGCTTAAACATGTTCCTATAGAAACTTCTGGTCTCTCCCAAAAAGATGGGAGAATAGGGATGGAGAAAACAAAAATGAATGTATAGAGTGAACAGTTGTGATATCACTGCTCTATTCAATTTCCCCGCTATTTCTAGTTTCTTCTCTTTTTGTACTGAATTGCTAAGGACCTCACGTAGGAACTAGGGGAAGACAAGGTGCTGTGGGAGGAAAGCACCCTGAGTGTCCAGGTCTCTTCTCTCTCCTTCATTAGAGACCCTAAAACTAGGATGATGGCATGTGATGCTGTAATAAACAGAATCTGCTTTCTCTCCTGCACACCTGGGTTTGAATTCTGGCTCTGCCATTACTAGCTGTGTGGCTTTGGGCAAGTTACTTAACCTCTGTGTGTCTCAGTGCTCTTGCTTTTAAAATGTAGATGATAATAGTACCTACCTCATAGGGTTGTTGTGAGGATTAATTAAGATGAGGCAAGCAGAGATTTAACACTGTGACAGTGGCATGTAAGTTATGATGTTTATATTCTCCTCTCAAATAAGCTAAGCAGCTCCACCAGAATCTTAATTTCCTGCACTTGTTTCTCAAAATCTCCCCTTAATTTGCCTGAGATGTCAAAGGCGGGTTCTTTGGCTGGGTCATATGAAAACCCTCCTCTGATTAGGGAGAGATGTAATCTTTATAGAAATGAGAGTCCCAGTGGCAGAGAGTACCCTGCAATTATTTGAGCTAGCTACTCGCATCCTGGCAGCACAGTCTTTCTGGAAGAGAATCATGTGAGTCACAGAGGGAATGAGACCATCTCACTGTGTTACTGAACCATGACCAATGGCTTGCCAATCACAAGAATGGTTCTCTGTCTTTGTTCAATACAAGTTTTTACCTGCTTTATTATTCTGACTCGGGCTTGTCTTTAATTCTTTCATCTGGAAAAATCTCTGACAAGAGGAAATATTAAGCTGCTCCCTTAGTTGGTATGAGGTTAATTCTACCAGACTCAGACTATTTTGCTGTAATTGTCTGTGCGTGAGGCAGTGCCCATTGGTATTTTTGCATCTGTACTTCAATTATTTTTCAGATCTTCCTTCGTTACCTTTCATCACCTTCTTTTATGAAAAGTACAGATGCTAGAATTCAAAAGAGCTCAGCCAGGTGTTGGTGAATCGAATCAATGCTTTTGGAATGATCAATTCATTGCTTTTTGGAATTTTAGGTTCCAACTAAAATTCTTCCATTGGCTATTCACATATCCTCTTTCAACCTCCTTTTTCTTATATGTTAAATGGGAATAATAAACACTCATCTAATTGTCTTTGTCTCTCTGGATTCATTTATTACCATTACTCATCTTCTTCCCCAGTCCTCTTCATGTAGTACACATGTATCTGGATAAGTGGAAATTTTTGTAGTCCTGGATCATTTCAGGGTTGCTGTGGAGTTTATATCAGATCAAAAATATGAAGACACTTATTACTGTGTCTGGCATAGTACGGATATTTCTCGGATCTCTATATATAAATTCCAAAGCCTGCTATAGGTCACAGAACACAGAAGCTTTAGAAGACTTGTGGTAGAGTCCCAGCTCCATCACTTAGTAGCTATGACACTTTGAGCACGTACATCATTTGCTTCCCCAAACTTCAGTTTTTCATTGATAACATGATAAAAAAAAATTGCCCTGGGTTATTAGATCAAATGTATGCAAAAGTGCTTTCTAAACAGTAAAGGATAATACAAATGTAAGGTGCTGTATAGGTACTTGTAACAATTTACTCCATGGCTTCAGGACACTCATCTAAACATTAATAAAACAGGAGCACTCTAGACCTTGCTTTACAATCAAAGCAAAACACACACAAGCCTGTATACACAGCTGTAAAATGCACTCAGTGCTTCCAGACTTGTGTTGGGGAAAAGGTGGATGTGGCATCCCAGCAGGTAGGAGCGTGGGCTGGTTTACTCCATTAGTGCCCTGGGGCCAAGAGCTGACAGTGAAAAGCTAAGAGAGGAGTCGAGGTTGGCCCCAGTATCAGCCAGAGAGGAGAGGCTGGTTAAGTGCCTGTCCTGGACGTCCTTCCCTGTTGCCTAACTTAAAAGGGGTTAAGTACTCAAATTACTCAAATGTGTTCCCTAAGTCTCATCTCATTGCAGTGGGGGGAGTGGTTGGTAGATGGGAGGTCTGCTGCTGTTGTTTGTCATTCTCTTCTTCCTCTAATCCAGGGAAATTGGAGAGGGAGAGTGGAAGGTAGTATGAATCATCTGTTAGAGATACTTACTTCCCCAGGGCTTGCTTCCCTATGCATAGGGGAGACAACTCCAAAGTCATGAACTCTGGAGAAAAAAAGTGAATCATCATCATCCTCTCAGGCGTCAGATTTATTTGGCTTCTTTTTCTAGCCTATGGTTTGGAGGCCTGATGTCAGCACAGGATTTCAGAGAGAGAGAGAGAAAAAAAAAGAGAGAGAGAGGAAGAGAGAGAAAGGATACATAGTAGAGAACGTGGTATGCTAAGAAGTGTACATGGCCAGGGAGGTTAGATGTCTTAGTGGTAAGAAGAATCTCTGAAAGGATCTGATGGTTGAGGCAAGGCCCATAAGCCTTGTGTGGTTCCAGATGAAACAGCTGAGTGTCATTGATTAGTGTAAGAAATTGGGTTTAAAAAAGTTACTCGATTAGCTGGGTGTGTTGGCACACGTACTTGTTCCCAGGTACTCAGGAGGCTGAGGCAGGAGAATCACTTGAACTCGAGAGGCGGAGGTTGCAGTGAGCCAAGAACGTGCCATTGTACTCCAGCCTGGGCGACAAAAGTGAAACTCTGTCTCAAAAAAAAAAAAAACACAAGAAACCAAAAACAACAACAAAAAAACCAATGAACAAAGTCTATTAAATTTGAAATTGTGTAGATGTTTTAAGTGGGGGATAGTTTCTGAAAAGTAGGAGGTCAGTGGCTATTAGTTTGCTTGAGCTGTCATAACAAAATACCACAGACTGGGTGGCTTAAACAAGAGAAATTTATTTCCTCTCAGTTCTGGAGGCTAGGTGTCTAAGATTAAGGTGTCGGCAGGGTTGGTTTCTTCTGAAGTCTCTCTCCTTGGCTTGTAGATGGCTGTCTTCACCCTATGTCTTTATATTGTCTTCTCGTACGTCTGTGTCTAATCATCTGGCCTTACAAAAACACCAGTCATACTGAATTTGGAATCATTCTAATGACCTCATTTAACCTTAACTACCTCTTTAAAGACCATATCTCAAAATACAGTCACATTTTGAGGTTCTAGAGATTAGGACTTAAACACATGAATTTTAAGGGAACACAATTTAGCCCATAACAACTATGGAACCATATCTACTACATAATATACCCTCAAAAAAAGATTTTTGAATGTCTTTTGCCTCAGCCAAGATGTTTCCTATATATTCTGCTCAGTCAGGAATCAACCCCAGGCTCTGGTGAGAGGGCCTAAACAGACCCTGCCACAGGGCAACAGTGTTGTTTCAATCTTTACTGATCCCGTAACCGTACACCAAAATGAGCCTGGATGGGGAAGATCCTATAATTGCAAGGAGGGCACTCCTAGTCCTATTTCAATAGTTCAGAAAACTGGAACTCAGAGACGTGAAGTGACATCTCCTAGGTCACACAACCAATGCATGTCAAAACTGGGAATTACGTGTGAGAATTTCAAGCACCTGGAATTGTCTTCCCATTAGGTCGGAGCTAATGAAGTTTAACAGAGCTTGAGCTTTGAAGGAATGAGTGTGTACTAGTTCTCAGAGAAGACTTGCAGCATGCAATGAGAAAAGAGGTCATTCCAGGTGAGTGAAGGAACATGAGCAAAGCAGAATCAGGAATTGTAAAAGGGGCTCTTTATTTTAAGCTACTGTCCACTCTCCAGTATGTACAATGGCATATATTACCATTGACATTGAAGTTAGGTTGACAGTGCCTCTCTAAATAATCCAGGAAATAATGAGGCATCTCAGATGTGTCATCAATTTATTTACTGGCTCATTGGGAAAGACATTACATTATTCATTAGCTGCTTTATATTTGCAAAATGGTTTGCCATAATTTTGATTTGATTTCTCCCTAGCAAGCTAGCTCAGCGTGGTCACTGCAAGTTGCTCAGCTCACTAAGGAAACATTTAAAGATATAAAGACATTAAATTGGCCAAAACCTGCTAAGAGCAAGAGCTAGGATTAAGAATTGGAAACTTCAGAGACCTCCTCTGTTTTGCCTCTGGGGCCGGCTTTTTCCATAAACAGGCTTCTGGGAAGCAGCATGATGAGGGGATTCCATGAAGAGCATGGCATTTTCTATAACCATTTATTGAAAATGCAAGTCATCAAATTAGAAGAAAGGCATACCAGGGAAGCAGAGAGGCCCACACTCTGGGCCAGGGTTTTAGAGCAAGGGTCCTGGACTGGGTTCTGTGTAACACATTTGTATTGACGACCATGAAAGGATTCAGCGTCTTGAATGAGACAGCTGCTTGTACAGAGGCGTTTTTTATGAGCTGACAAGTTAGCCAGAAACAAAGCATGTTTGTAGGAAGTAAATCGTTGCCAGTTTTAATCTGAGCTTTTCATTCAGCTGTAGCTGGAGACAATTGAGTTTTTAATGTTCTGCATGAAGTTCCTTGATTCGGATTTTGGTCAGAATGAGGCCCGGGGTTTGGTTTGGCTTTAGGTGTTCCATTTGCAAAATGTCACCAATATCAATGAAAACAAAAGCTATGCTGGTTGTTTTCATTTCCTGCTGATCATAACTTTTCCAGGGGACAGGGTCTGGACAAACAAAGCTGCCTCCTTGAAGGATGTTTATGTTTCTAGCTCCAAGACTGAGATTAAAGAGGGTAAACAGTTGACATGTTATGATGTGAAAATGATTTAAAGTCCACACTAAGATGAGAATTAAACTGAGATCCTCACTGGGGTCTTGAGGAGTCAGAGGAAGTTGCTTTGAGGCACATCAATGAGAGTGAAGAATTGCTTCTTTGATTGGGTTTCTTCAGGAGAGATGTTTCTCCTAAGAAAAATTTCCAGATAGCTGAAAAAAAAAATCTCTTTTAAAAACACTAAAAAAAAAGTGTGTTTGTGGAAAATTATTTAAAAATGCATTATATAGTTTCCTGCCTTATCAACAAGAGTGTAGACCACAATATGCCCTGTTCTTGATGACTCTGGGTAGTCATTACCTTCACCAGCTCAAAAGCAGTGACACCTGTGGGCCCTGTTGATGCCATCCTGCACCAGTTCCCTAGAGGAACCTGCAGGGTGAATGGATGATGGCTGGGTGCCACTGAGAATTTATATTTGTATTGTGGACCATGAATGGTATTCTTTCACTAGAACATTAAAAATAAAGGTAGTAACTAAGCATACCCAAATCTTGCTAAGAGAAAGATAACTAGATTTACTAAGCCAACTAAGTTAACATTTCAACTAATTACATGTTGATTGGGTTGGTTTGACCAGCAGTGCCTTCTCATAAGAGAGTTGTTCCTGAACCTCAGCCCTGTGGCCTGAAGTTTTTTACTGTTTGTCTCTTCATGTACATGTAAGCAGGGACCTTAAAAACTACCTCTGGGTTTGCATCATGTCAGTTACTGTAGCACAACTCAATCCTGTACAATTGGAACTCTAAAAACTAGAATTTTGCTCTTTTTAGACTACACTCCCTGATGATCATTCATCTCTTTTAAAACTGTATTCAGACTTCAGGCAATCTTCTTTGGGATTTCACCTTCGTAAGGATGCACCTTCTTAGAGATTCTGTCTTAGCCTCCTGAACAGACAGTCAGTAACCCCAGTGGCTGAGTTATTCTCTGGTCATGCTGAGGTCCAAACTACACTAAACAACACAGTTTACCTGTGGTCTACCTGGCCTGAATTGTCTTACCACTTTCCTAAAGGGAATGGATATTATCTCTACCTGCAGTTTTAGGTGGGAAAAGATTGGTTTTGTGGCTGAATACCACTAGAAAGACTCTCTTCCCTAGGAAAAAAAATTAATCTGAATTTATGGTCTTCCCAGGTATCCTAGTTTGAAATAGTCTTCTTTTAATCCTGAGGGACATGTTAAAAAATAATATGCTTTTGACTTATTTCAGACTATTGCTTTCCCAATAGTGAATCCTTCTGAAAAATTTTAACCCTAGGATGTCTCGCCTACTGGAAGACTCTGTGATACCTACTTTGCGTTATTTTCTGATTCTTAGCTGTTGTATATTTAAATTTCCTGGATAAGAGATCCCTGGATAAGAGAGAGACTATTCTTCATGATTTTAATTGACTTTATTCGGTTGTTTGCTACAGATTTATTAAATCAAAAGCCCTAAATCTAAGGCTGAATAATGGGCCCCACGTAAATCAGGCCTTAATCCCAGGAACCTGTAAATGATACCTTACAAGGAAAGAGGGCCTTTGCCAATGTGGTTAATTTAAAGATCTTGAGATGGGGAGATTATCCTGGATCATCTAGGTGGACCCTAAATGCAATCACAGGCATCCTTATGAAAGAGAGGCAGAGGAAGATTTGACATAGACAAAAGAGGAGAAGGCAACATGACCATAGAGGCCAAGCTTGAAAGATGTGGCCACAAGCCAAAGAATGCAGATAGCCACCAGAAGCTGGAGGAGGCAAGAAACAAATTCTCCCTTAGAGCTTCATGAAGGAGTATGGCTGTGTTGACACCTTGGTTTTGTCCCAGTGATCTGATTTCAGACTCTGGCCTCCACAACAATGAGAGAATACATTCCTATGTTTTTAAGTCACCAAGTTTGTGACCTAAAAAAATCATTTTAAGTTACATTTGTTACAGCAGCCATAGGGAACTAATACAAAGGGCTTATGAACTGCTCTTCAATTCCATGTTTAAAGTAATCATCTGCAATACATTCTTAAAATGCACCAAGTTTTGTGTTAGTCCATAAGGAAGGCAGAGAAGAAATAAAGGACGTGGTTTCTTCCCTCAAGGGCTTTATGGCCTCAATGGGGAGACAAGGTTCATGAGACAAGGGCAGGTGACACAGGGAAGTGTATCATTAAATGCTACATTACTTTTATAGGCTCATAAGAGCTGATGAGGTTCAGAGAAGAAGTTGATGAATTGGTAATATATAGGGAAGGATTATTGGAAGAGAAGGAACGTGGAATATTTCCAGGCAGAGAGAAGGAGGGTAAGCATTCCTGCAGAGAAGAATATGAGTGATGGCAGAAGTAGAACTGAACCTGGTATGCATTAATAGGGCAGGGACCATGATTGTGTCATTCACTATTGATCCCCATCACCTAGTGTAGTGTCTGGCACATAATATGTACTCTATAAATATTTAATGAATAAACAGATGTTGTCTTTGTAGGATATCACCATTCTAGCTGGCCTGCAGGAGCAGAGAACATACTTTAGGAATAATGGGGAATTAGTTTGGGTATGTAGGGCAGGACCCATGAAAACCAGGGAGAAGAAAGTCATCATTTTAAAGCACCAACATACTAGAGGTGGATTATTCCTTTAGAGGGTTTGAAAGGCATTTAAGGAACATGCCTCCATGACTCGCTCCCTTCCTTCCTTTTTTGTCCACTAGATCTCCAGTCTTCCTATGAAACTGGGTTGAAAAATACATAAAATTAACTTGACAATCTACTTGTGCCATCTGAATTTGCCTTAGTTTCATCTGGAAAGAGGAGGTATTGATGGGCTTTCAGAATCCAGGACAAGCGATCAGCCTGAGAGTCATGTCCCTCTTGTCATGGCTTCTGAAATCTACAGACTGTCTGTGGCTTTCTTTTGCCTCCCCTCTCTTCGCTGAGCCAAGCTGGACAAGAACTGGCAGCTTTACCAGGACAATTGGATACATTCGGGCTTTATTTTCTTGGCACACTGAAGACATTAACCAGCTTCCAAATGATAAGAAACGGGAATTTTTAGTACCAAATCCAAGTTCCTTCTCACAGAAGGGGTGTTTCCATTGTTTGAAAAGAGGGGTGCTAGCTGCTGAGTGACATGTTCTTTATCCATGATGACAGTCCCTGTTGGCACATCACAAGCGTTGTTTCAATAATAAAATTATCCTAGCTGCCAGCGGGGCCAGCTTCTTTACAAAATGAAGTAACAATAGCATGTTTCATACGATTGTCACTTCTTGTTGATCAATTAATTCTAAATAGTACTTAACAAAGATTTTTAATAAAAAAATGCATACTGAAACCAACACAATGAAACAAACCTTTGTTATGTTAGTTTGCACCCTCTTTCATGCTACTTCAAATCTCTTTCTGTTGATCATTAGGCTATCTTTCCTGTTAGCCAACAAAAATACTCAGTTCTTTCTAATCCTAAAACAAACAAAAAGCCTTTCCCCCGATTCTACCATTCTACCTTCTCATTTTTTCATTGCTAAACTTAATGGAGACATAGTGAATTCAGCAGGTCTCAGACTGGCAGGCAGTGAGCTAGATTATGCCTGAAAACCTGTTTTGTTGGCCTATGTCATGTTTTCTTTCCAATGTTTAAAATTTGGGAGATTTGCATAAAAATCTAAATTTCTCTTTCTCTTGACACATTGGGGAACTGGTAACACTGGGCCCACATTCTCACACGACGACAGTCTGTTGGAGCTGAGTTTCTGCATCTGCCTTCAGATGGGGCATACGTTCTCTAGCTCACCACAGGCCCCACCATTCCATATTGTCTTCGACGCTGAGACAAAGTGTCAGTTGCCATTTATCATTGCCTTGCACCCTTGTTTTTCTTAGATACAGAAGTATTTCACCGTACTGATGCTTCTGTCAAATGTGGGAAGTAAAAGACCCAGAGTGCTGCATGATCGTCTTGCACTCAGCCTGCTTTATCCTTGCGTGTTATCTATCTGGCCCCATCTGGGTTTGCAACCCCTGACCTGTATTACACTTCTGTCGGTTTCCAGCATTCTTCATCTCCTTGTTAGCTGGCTTTTTCCTTTTCATCTACCATGACCTGTCTTAAGAGTCACTTCTCATTTAATAGATTAGATGGCCTTTTGTCAGTTCTCTTTCTCAAAGCCTTCCCTGCCTGCATTTCCCCCCTCACTTTCCCTTCATCTTAAGATACCTTTCTTCTTTGCTTCATTTCTACCACCTGGCATTTTCTGATTCCCCTTCTTCTCCTCACGTCTTATACTGTGTTTCTCCATATTTTATCTTGATATACTTGGTCTTGGAAATTTTCTTCATGTCATGGTTTTCATGATTTCCTCTATGTGGATGACTTCTAATTCCATCATTTTTCCCCTGACCTCTCTCCTGACCTCATCCTATAGAACAGCTCCATGAGGCTCCTGCTAGCCCCTGAATCTCTTCTCCTAGACCCCTACCACACACTTTTCTCACATCATTGTCCTTTCTGTTGCTCCAGAGCATGACATTATTCCATGTCTGATCACTCTCCATGTTTGTTCTTTCTTTTCTCTCTCATTGTCCTATTCAGGCCTTTGTTACCTGGTTTTGTTTTTTTTGTTGCTGTTGTTTGTTTTTTAAAAAATCTGTTGGTTTCATTTCTTCAATATCTCTCTCCTTCAATCTATTATTATGCTGATGCTTGATTAATTTACCCTAAAAATTCTTTGATTGATTCACTTAGTAATTCATTCATTAATCTTATAATGCCCGTACAATTTATCATTTTTTTCTCCTCTTAAAAAGTCATCAGTGACTCTGCATTGCTAACAGAATGAAAGTCACAGTCCTTATATTGGCCTTGAAGGCCTTTGCCATCCAACCTCAGCCTGTCTTTCTGGTCTCATCTCCTGCTCCCAGGTATAAATCTTTGCTCCTTGAATAAGTGTCTGGGAGGGCTTAAGTGTAAAGCCCTAGAGTCTGCCTTGATTGGGTCTCAGCTCTGGCACATGTGGCTGTGTGACCTTGTGCAAGTCATGTAACTTCTAAGGCTCAGTTTCTTTATCTGTTTAGCCCATAGGGTTATTTGAAGACCAAAAACATAATAAGCCATGTAATATAAAGCCTGGTGCATATATTACTCCAGGAATTATATTAAATGAGAGTTCGATAAGTATTAGATAGTCTCATCCAGCCAACCCATAGTTTGCCTGCCATACATTCTTATGTAAAAAAAGCTAGACAGAGGCAGACGTTCTAAGACCAAGGCTTTTTTACATGTCTAAATCTTATGCATCGTTTAAGGCCCAGGTCAGACTGTATGACCTCAGTGAAGCCTTCTTGGACTCTAACAGGTAGAAATCCATTCTCTTCTTGCATTCTTAGTATAGACATGATCACTTCATAATTTGCAAGACTGTGTTTATATACAGGTCTCCTCTAACCTACCCCACAGTAAGCTCTTTGATTTCTAGGATCTTAATCATGTCTTCGCTGTTCATGTCACCAGTATGCCTTATACAAAGTAGGTGCTCAGTAACTATTTGTTAAATGAATAAGCTTTCATCTGGGTGGGATTTCCTCACAGTTATTTATTTTTATTCATTAAAGAAAACATGAAGAAGTATTAATCATTTGATTTGAGAAACATAGCATATTTTCCAGTAATTTTCTCCCCTTACTCTTATGCTATGCCAACGCAGGTGTCTTTTGAGGAACTCTGTATCTATTGATTTATTCAGAACTTATATCCCACCTTCTTTCAAAGGGATGTGAAAGAACATACTAAATTAAACCTAATGTGAAATAGGACAATTATGGCTAAAAAGAAAACAGAGACCATCTCAAAGAAGCAGGGAGCAGATGTTACCAGGCACCTGGGATGAGCTAATTACTATACTTGGTAACTGAATTTGGCTCTGCATTTCTTGGCAGCTAGAGCTGAAAGGAAACACATTGGGTTATTCATTCAGCAAACGTTTGTTGACTATCTTTGATAAATGGGGCACTGTGCTAACCCTGGGGATTCTAAAGTGAATAAGCCTGGGTCCCTGGCTTCAGCACATCACTTAGCCTGAGTTAAGTGACTGGAGATAGGTATGAGGGGCAATGGAAATACAGGGAAAGGACATT
This sequence comes from Homo sapiens, assembly GCF_000001405.40. Classification (NCBI taxonomy): domain Eukaryota; kingdom Metazoa; phylum Chordata; class Mammalia; order Primates; family Hominidae; genus Homo; species Homo sapiens. The sequence continues at coordinate 75,842,118 of NC_000012.12, read as the reverse complement.
GACTCTGTTTGTAAGGGGAGCCAGGGAATGCTCAGGGAAGAGCAGATGATTTCACCAAACAGTTCAGTGAGGGAAATGCATTTCTTGTGTAAGGAACAGAATATCCAGAGACCAAGAGGCCTCAAAGATGTGTTTGTGGAATGATGCGTTAGGCGAAGGAGTAGCAGAAGGTGAGTTTAGAGGGTTGAGTAGGGGTCAGATTATGCTGGACTTCATATGCCATGTGGAAGAATTTGATGTTAACCTCTTGGCCAGCGTTTGCCAACATGGCTGCACACAGGAGCCACTGGGGAGCTTCCTGAATCAGAATCTCTGCAAGCAAAGACTGGGAATCTCTATGCCCATAGCATGCCTTGGTTGATTTTCATGCAGTCAGCCTTGGCACCAGTTATTGGATCAAGTTTGTGAATCGCTGTGGCATGGGCTAGAGAGAAACCCCTGCAAAAGTTTAAGCAGGGGGAATATCTTACAGATGTGGATTTTAAAAACTACCTCTGATGTGGAAAAACGGGTCAACAAGAGCAGACATAAGATTGGAGGAAGGGACCAATATGAGCTTATTTTGCTCACTTGATATGAGCACTGAGCACAATATCTGGCAGAGAGAGGTGCTCAAAAAGCAACTCATTGAATGTAAAAGCTGGTTTTACTTACAGTGTTCTGTGACTTCTGGGAACATGTAGCTGATTCTGGACAATTGAGCAGAAGTGAGATGTGATAGATGTATGGGGTCAAATAGTCCCAGGTGCAGATTTTAGTTTCATCCCTGGGCAAGTTGTTTTAAACCTCTCAGAGCGTAAATGGTGGGAAAAATAATCCTAAATTTGCATAACTTCTGTGAGGATTAAATGAGATAACACATATAGCATAAAGTGGCAGAGGACTATTTCTCTTTCTTTCTCTCATTACATTCATAAACAATAGCCAGAGATGCTTTGACTATCTCAGTTCTGTTCTGATTATCTGTTGCTGTATGTTCCACAGTGAGCAGGTCTATGCAAACCTAACCTCAAAGGCTGAGGGAGTTGAGAGGCTGAAGAAAGAGACTGACAAATGCAGTTTCTCTGAGAGGAACGTTTAAGAGAAACTTAGGAACAGAAGCCGTGTCTTGGGATGGCCTCTAGACAGTGGATCCCCATACCTGCCCTCCAGAGAGTATTCCTTATTTAGCAAGCTTTTTTTGGTAAAATGTGCAACTGGTCATGTCTTCAACCCTCTTGTGAAACTCACCACTGGGGAAGTTAGTTAAGTGTTTTTATGAGGGATTATCTATGCTACAGGCATTGCTTCTTTATGAGGGGTTATTTATGCTACAGGCATTGTTTCTTTATGAGGGGTTATCTATACTATAGGTGTTTCTTAACCTTGCTGCAGGAGTCAGACATCAGTCATTATGGTGGTTTTGCTTCAAGATGGCATTACTCTTGCCATGCAATAAGCTGTTTTCCTACACTATATAGCAAACTATACCAAACTTAGAAGTATAAAACAACAGCCATTTTACTCTACCGATAGATTATGTGCATCAGAAATTCAAACAGTACAAAGTAGTGATGACTATGTTGCTGCCCTATTATATTTGGGGCCTCAGCTGGGAAGAATGGTATGACTGGAGAGTGGAATTATCTAGAGTGCCCTGGTGGGGATGACATGAAGGCTAGGTCCAGGCAGGACTATCAGCTGGAACACCTGCTCACTTCTGAACTCTACATGTGAGTTAGGCTTCCCCCACAGTTTGGAGGCTTCAGGATATTTAAACGTTTTACATGGTGGGACAGGGCTTTAAGAGTTAGTGTGTGTTTTACCTTACACCACCACCATGGCAGAGATCGAGACCATCCTGGCTAACATGGTGAAACCCTATCTCTACTAAAAATACAAAAAATTAGCTGGGCGTGATGGCAGGCGCCTGTAGTCCCAGTTACTCGGGAGGCTGAGGCAGGAGAATGGCGTGAACCCAGGAGGCAGAGCTTGCAGTGAGCCTTGATTGCGCCACTGTACTCTGGCCTGGGCAACAGAGTGAGACTCCGTCTCAAAAAAAAAAAAAAGTCAAAAAACAATAGATGTTGGCATGGATGTGGTGAAAAGGGAATGTTTATACACTGCTGGTGGGAATGTACAGTATAACCTCTACGGAAAACAGTACGGAGATGTCTCAAAGAACTAAAAGAAGATCTACCATTTGAACCAGCAATCCCACTCCTGTGTATCTATCCAGAGGAAAATAAGTCATTCTATCAAAAAAAAAAAAAGAATTAAAAAACACTTGCACACATATGTTTACTGCAGTACAAGTTACAATTGCAAAGATATGGAGCCAGCCTAAGTTCCCAACAACCAATGACTACATAAAGAAAATGTGGCATATATACACCGGGGAATACTACTCAGCTATAAAAAAGAATAAAATAATGTGTTTTGCAGCAGAGGCATACAGAATGGTTATAACCATCATTGGAGACTCTGGGTGATGGATAAAAACAACATAATGGGTAAAATGTATACTACTTGAGTGACAGGTACACTAAAATTTCAGACTTTACCGCTATACGATCCATCCAGGTAACCGAAAACCACTTACACTCCTAAAGTTATTGAAATTGAATAGAAATGAATAAGTGTGTTTAGAAATAAGGTGGAAGCTACATGGCCTTTTATAACCTAGCCTCTGAAGTCATATAGTATCACTTCTACCTTACTTTGTTAGGTTAAGTAATCACAAGGCCACCCATAACTATGATGACAATACATAGACCTGACCTTTTATCAAAATAAATATCAAAGAATCTGAAGCCATATTTTAAAAGCACTGTATCTGAGCATTTTTTTTTAAAAAGACACTTGATAGGCTCTAGTAGTTTTTAGGTAGTTGTCCTTGTATTTATTTGCAGAAACCAAACAAGAAAGGTATGATTCTTTCTTTTTAAAAATAACGAATTAATTTTTAATTGACAAATAAAAATTGTGTATATATATAGTGTACAAAATGATATTTTAAAATAGATATATATTGTGAATTGGCTATATTGAGCTAATTGACATATAAATTACCTCACACTTTTTTGTAGTGGAAACACTTAAAAATCTAGTCTCTCAGTGATTTTCAAGAATATAATATGTTGTTATTAACTGTAATCTCCATATTGTTTAGTAGATCTCTTGAGCTCATTCTTCCTATCTGACTGAAATTTTCTGTATTTCAACCAATATCTCCCTCCCAACACACCACAGCCCCTGGGAACCACCAGTCTACTCTCTGCTTCTATGAGTTTGACTTTTTTAGATTCTACATGAATGAAGTCATGCAATATTTGTGTTTCTGTGCCTGGCTTTTTTCACTTAACATAATATCTTCCAGGTTCATCCACCTTGTGGCAAATGGTAGAATTTCCTTCTTTTTTAAAGCTAAAAAGTATTCCATTGTGTATGTATGGGACATTTTCTTTATCCATTCATCCACGGATGGGTACTTAAGTGGATTCCATATTTTGGCTATTATGAATAATGCTGCTATGAACATGGCACTTCGACATACTGATATCATTTCCTTAAATACTCAGAAGTGAGATTACTGAGTCATATAGTAATTCTATTTTTGATTATTTTGAGCAACCTTTATACTCTTTTCCATAAGGGCTATAATAATTGACATTCAACAGCGTGCAAGGGTTCCTGTTTCTCCACACCCTTGCAAATACTTGTTATGTCTTGGTATGATTCTCTCTTAACTGTGTTCTCTGTTGCTACAATTCTGTCTATCCCAAATAGTTGGCCTTGCTTACCCTTGTTTTTCTACTTTTCTCAAGTATATTTAAAGCAAACCCAGTCTTTATGTTGCATTAGGCACTATTTACAAACCTTCAGTCCTTCTGGGATTCTTTATAAAGAGAATGTAAAATATGTTTTAAAAAGAACTTAAACTCTTCAAAAGGTAAGGAAGCAAATAAATGGAACCCTTTCTGGGATTTGCTAGAGACCATAGCAGGAAGACTTCTGATTTATTGGGCCTCAGCTTCTCTAGGTGCTGAAGAGAATTAGAGGATTTGAAATAAAATGGGAGGATCATTGTGTCTGCTTAGAGCTCATCACAAAAAAGTGATGCATAGTTAATGACCTTTTGTGACAACCTTATTCTTGCAAACTAGTGGGGCCATATGTGCACTGCAGTGACAGATGGTCCCAATCTGCTGTTGCCAGATAATGGCTCGTTTAGAGGCTTGGGGTGACTGTGTGACAAGTCCCGGCTGGACCAGCTGTTTCTGTTGCAACAAATGCCTGGTCTGGCTGAATGAATGCAGGCCACAAACTTTAAAAGACATGCTTCTACTACATGAAAGTATCCACAATTTCCCTGGCAGGAGAATTGATTAATGTATTTCTTTGAAAATTTTTACACCATTTTCCCCCCTAACAGCACTGGTCCAGGAGTCAAGGAACCTGGGTTTTAATCTCATCCTGTTGCTAACGAGCTATGTAACTACGGATGCATCATGTAGATTCCCTGAGCTCCTATTTCTTAAAGTGGGTCTGAGTTGGATAATACTTGAAGTCTTTTAGTCTTTTGCTTTTTTAAATCTTTCAATCCAAATCTTGAACCATAAAAGTTAGTGTAGTAAGTACAAAATAGTATTTACAAACTTACCGAATATTGGGTTCTGTACTTAGCTCATAATAATATTGTTTCTTAACAATCCTGGTGGCCCAATTGCCCAATATTGTTATTATTCACTATGTTAAAGATGGGGAAACCAAGTAACAGAGAATCACATAACTTTCCTAGAGTCAAATGTGTGGGACAGGGCAAAACTGGGATTTGAACAGCTCCTCCTTTTTATCCTCATGCTATACTGTATACGCAGTATACGCTGTATACGCAGGTGAGATGGAAAAGTAGGCAAGGCAATATAGAATCCAGATGCAAACAGATGATATTGTGGCACCTCTGTTTCCTCTGCCTGCATGCTATCATTGGTATTTATATTTGTAATAACTCGGGGCACATGTCCTAATCTATTTCAAGACCCCACCAAACCAACCAGGGACTTGGCTCCCCCTAAGGCACCAAGGAAGCCCTGGGGAACCAGCCCACTGGTGTTCTCATGTGGTTTGTTTGGAAAAGCCCTACTGTTGTGTAACAGTAGGGGACCCTTTGGTATGGGGTGGGCTGGGTATGGGAGGATACACTTTCCTAGGAAAAAAGCAAAGGATTCATGGTATACTGTTAATGTATCTCTGGGCTTAAGTCACATGTACAGATTTGTATCTTAAGTCCACTTTATTTAGTTCACATTTCTGAAACCTCTCATTATATTGGTCTTGTGTTTCCTGGTCATATGAATTTTGAGACAGTGATCCCTTTCTGTGAAGAATGACCTCATTCTCCTCATGGAAAAATTACTTTGGCATTTGAGCAAATAAGAATTAAATTGAAACCTAAGCCATAGCTTCTCCACCCAGCAGCTCTTTGGTGTTTTGCTATGGACATGGGGTTATATTTTTTTCCCTAGGCTCAGGTTTATTTTAAGAATATAATATAAATATTGTTTAAGTAAATCCTTCCTTGCCAAACACAGGATGTAAAACTTGATCATGCTATGAAAAAAGACTAGATATTTAGCTGACCTTGAGGTTAGTGGATAGGCTCTTCACTGCCAGCTAAATTTTCAGCTGGGATTGGAGTCTCAAGAGGCATTTTTCTTGTTTGAAAGAAAGCCTGTGGGTATTTTCAAATATTGCAGTGTTGGGTTCAGGAAAGAAGAGGGTATTATGGCTCCCATATGATGCTGCCAGCCCTTTTGTATATTTGTTGATAATTTTACCTTGGTCACTTGTTCTCTTATCTGGCATTATTGGGTTAGCCCCCACTGTGCCTGGTGTGGAGAGGGTAGAAGAGTCCTTAGAGGCCTGCAGAAAGGAATGATGGGATTTAATCGATGGCAAGATCTTTAGCCCTGTGGTCACTCATACATAAAGCCTGCTTGCAGCCCTCAGGCATGCAGGTAATATCAGAGACCATTTGAATTAGGAAGAAGGAAATTGAGTCCAGGAGGTGAGGCCAGTACCTCCATTTAGTGAGGTTTGAGTGGAGCTAGGACAGAGAGATATATATTAAGTTGACATTTTAAATCTAAAAAATGATATTCTGTGGACATCAGCGAGCACAGGCAGCTGGGTAAATTAGTAAAGTATATCATTGCCTGCCTCTCACATCTACAGTTCATAGTGTTCCTGTGATTACAGTATAGATCAGTTACATTGACAGATGTGGTCTGGCCAATAAAGTTACTGTGTTACGTGTACTGTCTATGGAATATTCAGTTTAGGTTGGTGTTCTCTGCCCTACCACTGTGATGTCAAGGTTTCTCAAGCTTGTCCCTCTTGATGTTTCAGGTCAGCAAAGCCTTTGTTGTGGGGAGCTGCCCTGTGCCCTGTAAAAGCAACATCCCTGGCCATGACCCACTAGATGCCAATAGTATTATCCATTATGACAACCAAACATGTCCCCAGACAGTGCGAAATATCTATCCACTAGCATGGCAAAAGTGCCCTCCTCCCCATCTAAGAACCACCATATCAGATTCACAGTGACCCATAGGATTAAAAGAATGTATGAGTTTGTGCATGTTTATGTGCACACATACATACATACACATACACACATCCCCAAGTTGGGCTGATACGTTGAATAGGGTCTTTAAGCATCTGTGCATCATGTTCTGAGGTTTCTCCTTTAGTTATTTTCCATTAGTATAAATATAAGAGTGAATCGGCTAGGCACAGTGGCTCACGCCTGTAATCCCAGCACTTTGGGAGACCAAGGCGGACAGATCACGAAGTCAGGAGTTCAAGACCAGCCTGACCAACATGGTGAAACCCTATCTCTATTAAAAATACAAAAATTAGCTGGGAGTGGTGGTGCATGCCTGTAATCCCAGCTACTCAGGAGGCCGAGGCAGGAGAATTGCTTAAACCCAGGAGGCGGAGGTTGCAGGTAGCCGAGTTCCTACCACTGCACTCCAGCCTGGGCTACAGAGCAAAACTCCGTATTAAAAAAAAAAAAAAAAAAAAAAAAGAATCGATCCTCATTGGCTCAGATTTCTAGAACGAACCCTTCCTTTCTCCATTTTTGAAACAAAATGCCCACAATGCATCTATTCCCATGCATCATATTTCCATAGAGGAACAGGCACAAGGAACAGGAAATTTACTCCATGCCTTAGGAAGGCAGATATGGGAAGGAATACTTCCAGGTTCTCTTGGCCTCTTTAGTCATGCTCATTGGAGCAGGACTTTGGTGACTAATGAGTTTGATTAATGAACATCCTCTGTTACGCTCCTGCATGTCTGTTTATTCCTGTCTGTCAGCCCACTAAAAGGGTGCATTCTCATCCCCTTTCTGCCATGAAGCAAGTTGCTGCTCTGGGCAATGTCTGTGGACAGCGAGTGATGCCAGTGATTAGGGGGTAAGGCTGTATGATGGGGTGGCACATAAGGAAGCTACTGAGGCTGCAACGTGGAGATACACCCTTCAGTTTCGCTTCGATCAACAATACGTGTGTTATGATCTTCACTGGGCTCGGATTCAGGTCTGTCTGTCTGTTGGTTGTGAGCTTGGTTAGGGCAGAAAGCTGTTATTTATTAAAGGGCCATCTACCTTTAAACTCCAAGTAAAAGGACTGACTGTCTCATAAACATCAATGTGAAAGATGCCAATAGATTTTTTTTTTTTTTCAGTAGGGTCTTGCTCTATTGCCTAGGTTGGAGTACAGTGGTGTGATCACAGCTCACTGTAGCCTCGACTTCACAGGCTCAAGTGATCCTCTCACCTCAGCCTCCTGAGTAGCTGGGACTACAGGTATGCAGCACCATGCCTGGCTGATTTTTGTATTTTTTTGTAGAGATGGGGTTTTGCCATGTTGTCCAGGCTGGTCTCGAACTCCTGGGCTCAAGCAATCCTCCCATTTGGCCTCCCAAAGTGCTGAGATTATAGGTAGGAGTCACCATGCCCAGCCAAGATTTTAATATAACAAATATTCAAAGTTTTTCTGAATCCTGACAGCCAGAACTTTTAACCATATGTTCTAACTTTCAGGTAATTTTGTACACTGACAACTGATGTTCCAAAGAGACAGCAGAGTGTTGAGATAAAGATTATGAGCTTTGAAATCAATAAGACATGACAACAGTTCCCAGCTTGACCCTTTATGAATAGCTTTGGGTTAATTACTCAAGTAGCTTTGGGTAAAGTGAGGTCATGTACATGAAGTGCTTGCATGGTGCCTGGCACAGAGTGGGTGCTCAATAGAAGCTAGCTGCCATTTACCTTCCCCATGCCACACGACTCCAAGTTAGCCAGAGTGATCAGTCCCTCATAACAGCCATCTATTATGGCCATTAACATTTGTATTATTCTTTATACCTATTGAATGCATTTGCATATACAGTTTGATTTCTCTAAATCGCTGCGTGAACATGTGAGGTAGGTGCATGGGTGGAAGTGATCCTATGTCACAGATGAGCAAAAGCGGCTCAGATGGTTGACTGATTTGCCCCAGGTCAGTAGAGTCAGGTCTCAAACTCAGGTAGGATTCTAAATCCAGCACTCTTTCTTACAATGACATGACAAAGATTGTCATGTCTTACAACATTGTGTCATTCTGTTTGAGAAGAATGTTGGCATTTACTGGCTATTCTGACAGATAGGGAAATTGGAAGACAGAGTATATGCATATAAAATCCAAAGTAAGTGTTAGAATAACTTTTGGATATGTGTCCTTACATTATTTAAATATTGCTTCCCCACTAGGGCCTTTCCCTATAATGTTTTCTTTTCCTAAATGTTTACTTTCTCCATTCATTCATTCATTCATTCATTCACTCATTTATCATGAACATTTCTTGAATCTCTATTATGTATATCAAGCAGCATAACAGGGTCTGAGAGTACAAAAAACCCAAGATGGGACCTCTGCCCTCTTAGCATTGCTGGGGAGAAAGCTGTTCAGACCAATAATCATAATTACTGTGTGATGGTTTCCATGGAGGAGGAATATACCAGGTGCAAGGCAGCTCAGAGGAAGGAGTGATGGAGGAAGCCTGGAGTAGGTGAGGTCAGAGGTAGAGGCTTCTCAGAGAAGATGCTTGAATCGGGCACTGACAAGGGAGGAAGATCTGGTTACTCCTCTGAGCCTCAGCCATTCATCTGTGAAAATGATAATATTAATAACTACCTCATATGGTTGTTAATGTCTGTAAAGTGCTTAGATCCATGCATGGCAAATAGTAAGCCCTCTATTAATTGATAAATGGTGGCTGTTATTACTATCACAATTCCATTCAGGAAAAAAAATTCTATTTATTTATTTTAAAAAAATTATTTGTTTTTTTGAGACAGTCTTGCTTTGCTGCCCAGGCTGGAATGTAGTGGCAGAATCATGGCTCTCTGTATCCTTGACCTCCCAGGCTCAAGCGATCCTCCCATCTCAGCCTCCTAGGTAGCTGGGACCACAGATGTGTGCCACCACACCCAGCTAATTTTTAAGTGTTTTTTTGTAGAGATGGGTGTCTCACTATCTTGCCCAGGCTGGTCTTGAACTCCAGGGCTCAAGCAGTCCACCTGCCTCAGTCTCCCAAAGTGTTGGGATTACAGGCATGAGCCACCTCACCCAGCCAAGCCATTTCATTTTATAAATCAGACTTCACACAGGACAGTAGGATAAAGCAAATACCTTCAAATTCTTTACATGTTGTTTCCAGAGATGAGCTTAAAATGGCACATGTATTAGAGCCTCAATCCTAAGTAGTACCAAGGAGAATAATCTTTAAATTTTATTTATAAAAGTTTGAAATAACATGTTCCTGACCTCTTCTTTCTCTTCCTTTTCTTTCTTCTATTGTTTGTGACAGGCAATATTAAAATGGAGCTTTTCTAGTTTCCTGTCCAGAAGCTCTGCTGTTCTGCCCAAAGTGTTTCTGGTATATCTGAGGTAGTTAATCTTAGTGTGTCTTTTTCCCCTAACCTTTGGGATCTGGTTAACCTTTGCAAAATTTTGTTCCTTCACCATGGACATTTACATGTTTAATTGCAATGAGAAAACTTGGGAGTCACATGGCTTAATCCTTAAAAGCAAACTTGGTCCACAGGCAAATGGTTTCTCAGGGCAGTGCACTTCTGAAAGTCCTGAAGCTACCCTAGGCCTTTGTGAAACAGCTTTCTGTTAACTAACCATATTTATATATTTATTATTCAATTTTCTCTACTTTCTTAAACTGCCTCAATAAAGCAGAGCTATAGGCATTGGAGGTGTACGTATATGCTGTGGAAGGCATTGTGGAGAATCTTGCTGATTTCATGTTGTGCAGTAGTCAGTCAGGGATGAAATGACAACTCAAGAAAGACTCCTGAGAAAAATCATGACTAGGGTCACTTTGTTATGGCTTTTCTGGGAATATGGATTCAGATAAGCCAGTGGCCTAACATGAACTTAGCCCAGCATTTTATCTTACTTCCTCTTTGATAACAGTTCACGTCTCCAAAATCCATCATAGACAGCATGGCTCAATTGGAATTTTAAATATCCAGAATGCGTTAGTGTGACAGCTGTATCACATTTCTTCCCTTGAGAGAGAAAATGGTAGGCTGCCAATAGCAACACTGTTAACATTAGTGGGGCCAAAAGATAGACCACTTGAGGGAAAGTCTCAAAGCTTTGTGAATTAGGCATACATGAACAGAGGGGGTCTGTTTAGCCCTCTCTCAGGCTCCTAATTTGAATGTGTTACTCTTCTTCTTTACTTCCTCGGCTTATCTGATGATACTTTTGATGTGAAATTAAAAAAAAGTTGATGTTCATACATAATTACAACATATAAACTTGTCCTTTAAAAGCAATTACATTTTAAAATCACTACCTATTCTATTGGTGATGCTAATCTGATATTTTAAATTTTAATATAGTTTATTTTTAATTACATAATTGTCAGTTTTAACAAAACTAAAATTGCGCCAGAGGCAATGAAGGCTGATTTTCAAAGGAATTAGGTATTCTGGCAGTTACTGTGCAATATGTCCGCTACTGGAATTAATAGAAAAATACCTGTCTTACTTTTGATTGTATGGTGTATTGTTTGTACTGCCAAATCGGTGAACCTGTAAAAGATATGATACCATTAGGTGTGAGATTTAATGAAACTTTATTTCTATTATTACTATTATTGTCAATAACATTTAAGAAATAGGTTTCATTTCCAAAGAATAACTTGTCTTTGCTTTTCAAAGCTATTTTACTGTATACTTCAAAGATGCTAAAACTAAGTTATACAAATATCTAAAGACAATGGAAGTCAAGATCAGCATAAATATTTTACAAGGTAGAGAAGAGATATATTAATATCTTCTATTAGATTAAAACACTTGAACTTTTGAATAGGAAGTCCTTTCTCCATTGCTTGTTTTTGTCAGCTTTGTTGAAGATCAGATGGTTGTAGGTGTGCAGCCTCATTTCTGGGCTCTCTATTCTCTTCCATTGGTCTACTGTCTATTTTTGTGCCAGTACCATGCTGCTTCTGTTACTGTAGCCCTGTAGTATAGTTTGAAGATATCAAGTAACACGATGCTTCAGCTTTGTTCTTTTTGCTTACAATTGCCTTACCAGTTTGGGTTTTTTTTTTTTCTCCATATGATTTTAAAATAGTTTTTTCTACTTCTGTGAAAAAAACTGTCATTGGTAGTTTGACAGGAATAGCACTGAATCTATAAATTGCTTTGGGAAATATGGCCTTTTTAATAACATTGATTGTTCTGATCCACAAGCGTCAAATGATTTTCCATTTGTTTGTTTCATCTCTGATTTCTTTGAGCAATGTTTTGTAATTCACACTGGAGAGATCTTGCACCTTCTTGGTTAGCTGTATTCCTTGGTATTTTACTCTTTTTGTTGCAATTGTGAATGAGATTGTGTTCCTTATTTGGCTCTCAGCTTGGCTGTTGTTGATGCATAGGAACGCTAGTGATTTTTGTACCTTGATTTTGTAACCTGAAACTTTGCTGAAGTTGTTTACTAGCCAAAGGAGTTTTTGGGCCGAGACTGTGGGATTTTCTAGATATAGAATCATGTCATCAGCAAACAGGGATAGTTTGACTTCCTCTCTTCCTATTTGGGTGCACTTTATTTTTTTTCTCTTGCCTGATTGCTCTGGCCAGGACTTTCAATACTACGTTGAATAGGAGTGGTAAGTGAGGGCATCCTTATCTTGTGCCGGTTTTCATGGGGAATGCTTCTAGATTTTGCCCAATTAGTATGATGTTGGCTGTGGGTTTTTCATAGACAGCTCTTATTATTTTGAGATATGTTCCTTCAATACCTAGTTTATTGAGAGTTTTTAACTTAAGAGCTTTTACACAGCAAAATAAATTATCAATAAACAGACAACCTACAGAATGGGAAAAAATGATTGCAAACTATGCACCTGATGAAGTTCTAATATCTAGCATCTATAAGGAAATTAATAAATTTACAAGGAAAAAACAAATGACCCCATTAAAAAGTGGCCAAAGGACATGAACAGGCTCTTTTCCGAAGAAGACATGAATGTGGACAAGAAGTGTCTGAAAAAAGCTCAATATCACTGACCATTGGAGCAAATGCAAATCAAAACCACAATAAGATGCCATCTCACACCAATCAGAATGGCTATTATTAAAAAGTAAAAAAAAAAAAAAGTGCTGGTAAGGTTGCAGAGAAAAGGGAACACTTATACACTGTTGATGGGAGTGTAAATTAGCTCAACCACTGTGGAAAACAGTGTGGCTTTTTCCTCAAAGAGCTAAAAACAGAACTACCATTCAACCCAGCAATCCCATTACTGGGTAGATACCCAGAGGAATATAAATCGTTCTACCATAAAGACACATACATGCGTATGTTCATTGAAGCATTATTCACAATAGCAAAGACCCAGAATCAACCTAAATGCCCATCAGTGCTAGACTGGGTAAAGAAAATGTGGTACATATATACCATGGAATACTACACGGCCATAAAAAAGAATGAGATCATGTCTTTTGCAGGAACATGGTTGGAGCTGGAGGCCATCATCCTTAGCAAACTAATGCAGGAACAAAAAGCCAGATACCACATATTCTCACTTATAAGTGGGAGCTAAATGATGAGAACACATGGACACAACAGACACTGGGGTCTACTTGAGGGTGGAAGGTAGAGGGTGGGAGGAGGGAGAAGATCAGAAAAAATAACTAATGAGTACTAGGCTTAGTACCTGGGTGATGAAATAATCTGTACAACAAATCCCTGTGACATGAGTTTACCTCTATAACAAACCTGCATGCGTACCCTGAACCTAAAATAAAAGTTAAAAAATACTTGAAGATTTGTTTTAGAATTTAGCTGTTTTTTGTGCATAAAATTGCTTATAAGTTAATTGCTTGATAACAGCAGAAAGACTACTTCATTTTAAACCCCTCCAAGCAGCAGAAAGAGCAAGAAGCAAAAAGACTCATATGTAAGATAGGTATGTTTGGGGAGGTAAAATATGCTTTATTATTAAAAGCTCAAACTTCAGCTCTGGAATTAGGCTTTGCTTCAAGTTCAGCACCACCATTTACTAATTGTGAAATTAGAAAAGGTGTTTGATCTCTATTAGCTTCAGTTTCCTCTTCAGTAAAAATGGAACTAATAAAGCCATTTCATATAGTTAGAAAAAAAAAAACTACGATGCTTAACAGACAGCTTAATAATAATAAGCATGCAATGAATGATAGTTCTTATTGATATTATTTTGGATGGGAGGTTTAAGTGTGCCAAGTGTGCTAAGATCTTGTTGATATTATTTTGGGTGAGGGGATTTAAGTGTACCATGAAACAAAATCTCATTAATTAATTCAAAGATTACTAAATGTTCTAAAGAAAGATAATATGTTTTAATAATATGTGCTCTACTTACAATGTCTGTGGAATTCTGTAAAGCCAAAAATATAATCATAAGCATCTATGAAGGTTCTAATATCCAGCATCTATAGGGAAATTAATAAATTTACAAGAAAAAAAAGACCCCATTAAAAAGTCCATGTTTGTCATGTTATAATATGGGAAAAGCTGTCAGACTTTTTGTACTTTTATTTGTGAGAACAACTAAAATTAAGTGGTGAGGATTTAGAAAAGCCAACTCTATTTCTATGCTTTTTTTCTCCTTTAAGGTGGTGTTTAGTGCTTAAAGAAAATCATCCAGAGCCAGGATCAGTTGGGTAATTGCAAAACTATCACAACCACAGAAATCATGATATATCAAATTGTGTGTGTTTACAGAAAATGTGTGGTATCAGTCTAGCTGGCATAAAGGAGTAAAAATGACAGTAGCAGTAAACAAAGCATATGGTAACTTAAAAAATGGGCTTTAAAAGTGTGAATATTTATATACAAAGCAACTCTCCATTCTGCAGCTTTTATAATTATCTATATTTATCATCACTCTGCATCCTTCCACATCCTTAGTGTTTTTTGAGAAAAGGAGCCCCAAGTAACTGAAGCTGCTGAAAGTGACTCTGTCTTAGGCCCATGTGCACCAAAGAAAACAAACCTAAATATCCTGGTCCTGATTGTGGGTCAGTGAAGGACATCTGATCTAAAGTCTTTATGATTTGACATGGGGAAGGCCAACTGCAGCAGTAGTGGCTTAGAGTCACCTGCCAATGGGACTGATTCAAACTCGATGAGCACACACCCCATTCAGATAGTGGGATGGATAAATGAAAGGGGCACCAGAAATAGTGAGTTCCTAGTGTTTATGTAATGTCCAAAGTGGCCCTTTGCAATTATGTCTCTCTCTATGAGACCAACTATACATTCCAATCTCAGAAGCACTTGGAAATGGGTAATTTGACCGTAAGATGTCACATCTGTGATCACATCCTGGATCACGGGTCATGATATGTTTTGGCTGTGTCCCCAGACAAATCTCAACTTGAATTGTAGCTCCCATAATTCCCATGAGTTGTGGGAGGGACCCAGTGGGAGATAATTGAATCATGGGGGTGGTTTCCCCCATACTGTTCTCATGGTAGTGAATAAATCTCTCGAGATCTGATGGCTTTATACGGGGTTTCCCCTTTCTCTTAGTTCTCATTCTCTCTTGCCTGCTGCCATGTAAGACATGCCTTTCACCTTCCACCATGATTGTGAGGCCTCCCCAGCCACGTGGAATGGTGAGATCATTATACCTCTTTTTCTTTATAAATTACCCAGTCTTGGGTATGTCTTTATCAGCAATGAGAGAACAGACTAATACAGGTCACATCCTGATGTTGGAACAGCAAACACTCTGGGAACCAAACATTATTCTGTGAACTCTTCTGATCAATAACCAAAGGTATTTCTGCATTTCTTTATACCCGAGTGTGAGTTCTCTTGAAATTTTGGTGCTGCTGAAATGTGCTCATAAGAATGTGCCAAACCTTAAAGCCAGAGTACCCACATCCCATTCCCAGCTGCTCCATCAACAACCCAGGTGGCCAGTAGTAGAAAAGGGGCAAAGGGATTAGGGCTGGAGTATTGGTTTTAGATAAGAGAAAGGATGCTGTCTCTGGGATGGGTAGGAAGGAGGTAAGAAAAGATGCTGATGAAGACACGGTTGTATGAGTAGAGGGAGGAGAGGGATGGGAAGTTAAGGGAATTTTTACCTGATTGCTCTGTTTTCTTGGTGAAGACTGAGGTAAGGATATCTATTGTGAATAAGGGGATGGGTAACTCGAATATAGTAAAGATTTGAAGCAACCTTCGTAGGAAATGATGGTGTTAAGGAACAATTGATATATAGGAAAATCATTGTGGTAATATCTAGGGATACAGATCATGGATTTGTAGAAGCATGTTGTACAATTCTCTCCCTGCATTGCCTGAGTGTAGAATCGGGGGAAAGACCGATGTGGGAATGATAAAAATTCAGGATTGTAGTGGACTCATTTGGAGGAAGCAAAAGGGAGCAAGAAAATTCAAATCATTCATAAGTGAATGATTAAAGAGATGGTTTAAGCCGTGATGGGAAGGAAAGTGAAGACAGGAAGGCACATACTGGGGAAAATGGGAGCACGGGGCAGTGAGTCAGAGCATTTTTTTTTAATGAAGTTGAAAAACAAGTTTAAAGGAATTAACAGAGAATAGGAAATTTAAGTAGGTTGTGTGGTCAGGCTGTGGTTTATTAGAGATTAAATTTTCGTTAGTAAAGCAATTCTGTGGGATGACAAGCTTCAGGGTGTGGTTATGCATGTGGGTAATAAAATTTGAGTAGAATTGAAGGTTATTGGAATGAGGAGGCCCAGGAACTGTGGGGCAAGGCATTTTATGGGGTATGTGCACGGACTCAGAATTCACCCAGGATGATGGTAAGACTAGGGGTGGAAAGGACAGTGTGACTCAGGGGCTTCTTAATATTTGGGGATGAATGTGAGAGAGTTGGTTGATGGTAGTGAGAGAAAGGCATTTAGGATTGTGTACTAGAAGGCATAAGCTTGCAGAGTGCAGGGGTTGTTCATTAAGGGAAGAAGAATTTGAGAGTGCACAGAGAACTATGAGAATACTGTTTCACTTCCAAGCCCCATGTCAAATGAGGCTTGAGAGACCCAAAGCTGCACCTAGACAGGGCTGTAGAAGAGAAGATCACCCAGAGGGAGGTCCAGGTTTGGGTTCAGCAAAGAAGTGGTGGAAGATTTCTTTCTGGAAGTTGAAAATGCACTAAACTTTGATAATCAGGAAATGGAGTTCTAGAGGAGACAGCAGAAAGATTGAGGAGTGAATAAGGGATGTGGGCATTTGCTTCTCCCTGATCCAAATATTAGTTTAGTGTTAGTGGTTAAGGACAGAATAGATGACTGCAGGGGCTTATCTTTAGGACAGTGACTGAAGGTGACATGAATATGAGGCATAGTGGAGTTCATTGACCTCAAGTTTTCAAAAGAAATTTTTATGTGAGATTGTTTTAGTGTTGAATCTAATGTTCTGAAAGCTGTGGAAAGCCTGATAACTCTAGAAACCTGTGAACTTGCCTACTTGAGATCGCTTTCAGCTCATGAAAGCACTATGGCTATTTCAAATATCAATGAGTAAAGTATTTTTCCTTCCTGATCACCAAGTTGTCTTCAAAGATTGTCTCATGAGGAACTACATGTCTCTTAGGAACTACAGTTCCTAAGCTTCCCATAAAAGCAAAGGCAGTCCACCTGCCCCATGATTGGGCCAGTGCAGAAGCATGGATCCAGGCAAATGTGGGTAACCACAGGGTACCAGCCGAATGCCCATGGCAACAGTCCATGGTTGAGCCTCTTTTTATCCCTTTAACTGTCTCCCTGTCAAACTATCTGCCAAAGTACCACTTAGCTGGAAGTGTATGAAGTGGAGTTTTCCTTCTTCCTTCCCTGAAGTATATATCATTACAAAAATTTTATTTCTTCATTGGTGAGAACTTTTTCTCTGAATTGGGTTCATTATTTTTTCAGAAGAGTGAAGATTTCAAAGCACACATTTCTGATTCACATCTATGCTGATGCCTGTAAAAATAACAAGATGCAGTAGCCATCCCAAGGTTGTTTGCCTGGCAGGGGGACTTTGGACCAGTTGCTTTGCTTCTTTGTACCTCAATCTCCTCTTCTCAGAGACAGTTAATAACACAGGGTTCTCCTTGCAGGGTTGTTTAGATGTGACCTCTGAAGTTAATGTATGTGAAGTTCTTAGCCCAGAGCCTGGCATATATTGGGTATCTAATATAGGGTGGCTGTTACTTTTACAAGGAAGATTATACCAGAATCATGCTAAGATTTAACACAAGTAAACTAATTGCATTTTCACAACAATTTGGTGAAATGGCTATTAATGATGACACTTATCATATGAATAATTTGAGGTTTGGTGTGATTCCATAGATCATTCAGGGTCAGGGTCAAATATTAGTAAATTGCAGAGCTGAGATTTGCCCTCAGGTCTATTTGATTCTAAACTCAGTGCTCTTTTCAATATAGTTAGATCATCCTGGGCGAATTATTTAGAATTTAGAGAAGAAAATTTCAAAATATTTCATTGTTGCCATGGCTTATTGTAAGCCCTACAATCAGTTGATTTTCTTGGCTCAATCTCAAGCCCTTTATGCAGAATTGCATGCCCTTTTTATCCTTTTCGGTTTTCAGGGACACAAGGAGAGATATGCATATGAAGGGTTATTTTCTAGGTAAGGAAAATCATATTCAGAGCAGTTGGTTGGTTATTCATAAAGAGCTCACC
This sequence comes from Homo sapiens, assembly GCF_000001405.40. Classification (NCBI taxonomy): domain Eukaryota; kingdom Metazoa; phylum Chordata; class Mammalia; order Primates; family Hominidae; genus Homo; species Homo sapiens. The sequence continues at coordinate 75,823,834 of NC_000012.12, read as the reverse complement.
AAGTAGGCTCAAATTGGATAATCAAAGCTAAGCTGAGGGAAGCCACAGTTGATTTGAAATATCAAGAGGGAAGAGTAGGGACACTAAAAATCAGAAATGTGGTGAAACCACACATTTCCTGATCCAAGCACATCAGAATTCATTTGGTTAATAGTGAACAGAGGCACCCCACTGAGTTCCTTAATTATAACACCAGGACACTTTAAAGAAATATGAGAGGAATGCCTTTTCTGGCAATTTATAAATCATGTGATTTTCCTTTCTCCCTTGGGTGGACATTTTATTGCAGAGCAGGGTAGGGTTTTTGCTGGACATGCAAACTTCATTCACTTAATCGTTGAACATGAGGAACTCCATATTGCTTGTGGATGATTTTTAATTATCCACGGTTCTTTAGTAGTTAATGTTCCTTCCCATCCCAAGCCTGAGGTGTCCCTGTGTTTCTAATATCACATTGTGGAGACAAAGCCTGAGCTGGATACCCCAAGTTTCAGAGGAGATCTTGGAGATCATGGAGTTCTATCTTTTTCTGGCAAAAATGAAGAAACCGGGGCCTCAAGAAGTTTAATGACCTTTCCAGCATTACGTGGCCAGATAATAGAAAGGTTAATATTGGAAAGATTAAAACTGGAGGTCATATCTTGATGAGGAAAACCAGTGTTATGGCATTGGGCAGACTTTGAAGACAGAGATATGGTAGTATTTTGGGGAGAGGGAAGAAGAGGGAATTACTTAACCTCTTTGAGCTTCTCCCTATAAGCATCTTCTCTGTAAAATGTCTTCATATCTGTCTGGTGAGACGGTTGGATAATCGAATGAAGTTGTGAGCTTAGCAGAATATCTGGTGTATGGAGTGTGCTAAATAAATGATCAATTTTATAAATTTGTCTTTGAACTTTATGTCATTAGATTTAAAATAAAAGAGGACATTTGTTCCATTTTCTTTGTATTTCCAGCTGAATTTACTGCCCTTTACTAACCACCCCAGCTCAAACCTGTTTCAGAGCCCATCTGGATTGTGGTCGTGAACTAGCCCTGACACTTATAGGCTCTTGCTGCTGCAGATTTATCAGAGAAAGCCTAGAGACAGCCTTGCTCTCATCTTCGTGTCTGCTCCACCCTTGCTCCTTCCTCAGTCTGCTCCTTACACATGCCTGCCATACTCCATGTCATGCTGCCAGACATGACAGATACATTCAGCTTTCTGTCTCATTCCCTTCTAAGTATTCCTGTTTGCCCTGGCATTCCAGCCCATCTCTCACCCCAGAATCTTTGGCTGGAGCCATAACTTGGATTGGACTTGAGCCAGTCATTTCCTCCAGTCCCAGAGACATCTACGTGGGATGTTTGCCCAATGGCAGCCAATCCTAGAAGTCTCAAATGTGTCCTTACAAGTTTCTCAGTGTGTCTCCTAGGCCTAGGTGGAGCTAGGTGCCTAGAAATGCAGAGTGCTAGACAGAGGGATGTGGAATTTCATGACACGCTTGCCTCGTAGACCCCTACAATAAGTTACTCTGTTCTACGCAAGAATGTGAAAGGGTCACCTTCCTTTCTACCTGGGTCATCAGGACACCTGGGGTTTCTCTCTTATGATCTAGAGGTTGATGTCCAGTAGGAATCTCTTTGGATATCTTCAGATGATCTGGCTGGGTTTTGATCCCTGCTTTGTGTCCATCTTTCCAGTCTGTGACATGGAGTGTGGATTGCAATGGGGTCTTGCTTCTTCTCTAGCATCTGTCTTTAACAGAGAATAGACCACTCTCTGGTGACTGATAATGCAGCCTTATGGGGCAGTTATGAGATTGCAGATCAAGTTGCACCCTGATTGATTCCCCAAATGTGATTGCCTCCTTTATTTACACATGGCTTGGACTAGGAGAAATGATCTGCCTCTGTGTCCTTTCCCACAGCTTTGGACTTGGTCTTAGACTATCAGTTGTTAAGGTAAAAAAAATTATTTTTATACTGACTTGGAGATTTGACAAAAGTTCTTCTAGACACTAAGCATACAATAGATAGGGCTTTTTGTGATTTTTCCTCTTTAAGTATACAAGGCACGAAACCCTATAAAACATTACAAATTACCATACTTTCCCTGTATCAAAAATAAAAAAATTTACAGATTAACTTTTCCTTTATTCAAAATGGCACTAGTTGTAATGAGTTCCATAGTGGGGAATTATAGGCAATTGAAATATCTGCCTTGTTGAATAGAAGAAGGTGAGTAAGAACATTTATGTTGATTTTCAACCTCGAATGTTAGTCTGCGGATGTATGTGAGAAGTGGCAACACAGATCAGCTTTCTTAGCATTTATCTTGACTCTGGCTCTTAGGATGAATCACTTGTATCATAAGATTTGGGTTGCTTATCACTTCTGGAGATGCTTGTCTTTTTCTACCTACCTTTCTCTTGCCATGATCATGGGGAAGACTAGCACTATTTACTGAAATTCCAATGAGGCAATAACTTAGGAAAATGGCCATGTCAGTTATGACACCACTAAAAACCTGTTTAGTAAGAGAGCAGTTATGGGATTTTAAAAAACCATTGCAAATCACAGTCCTCCTTTAGCACTGAATCCTCCTTGACCTAATTCCCCCCCCCACCCCCGCCGCAACTCAGTTCCCCAGCTGAGCCTGTGACTTCAGCTTGTAAACTATCCTTGGCCTGGGATAGCCAATAAGGCAGCAAGATGCAGCTGTTCGACAGGGTGGCCAAAAATATAAGCGTAAAAGATGGATACATATTTTCCCTTTTTGATTGGTTTACATTTACCCCCGATTCATGAACATATTGTTTAAACTTGCTTTTCCAAAGCCCCATTAATCTTTGCTATTGGTTCGTCTCCTGTTTCCAAACATGACCTCACTCCAAGTGCCGCCCAGTGGTGAGCAACTCTGAAGTATTTTCTTTTCGCCATCCAAGAGAATCAGGGTGGAAGATTGCCGAGTTGGTGCTTGTTTAGGAGCTTTTCAAAATGAATCATTGGAGTGTGGGGATTTGATGTGGATTACTGGCCAAGTAATTATCGGAAGATATTAAGTATTGGAACTCAGGCTTTTGTATAAGTAGAATTAAAGCCCATGTCCTGGCACATGAGCTTGTCATTTGGGAGTGATGAAAATTATGTACCCTTGTTAGCATTTCTCAGTCCTTTTCATATTATCTCTCTCTCCAGTTACCTTCCCTGTTATTCAAAAGGTGATTTTGGGGTAAGATTCAAAGTCGTGAGATGAGGGCTGAATACAAGGTCATAGTTTTTCATTTGGTGTCTAATCTTCTATCTTTATTCTCCAAGGGTCCATTGACTTTTCTCTTTCTTTCCTCTCAAATGACAAAGAAACTGAGTGGTTAGCCCAGAGATTAAATTCCTTATCCAAGGGGCCACACAAGTCACTCTTAACCCATGAGCTATAAGTTACACCCCAACATAAATCTCTAAAGGTTGAGCAACTCTCATTTTTTTTTTCCCTAGGAGATAGGGGTGTTACCTTCAATTTTGTGATGTCTTTTTTCATTTTTAACAGATGCTACAGTTAATTGAGTGCTCCAGGAGTTCAAGCTGTTATCCCTTGTTAGATTTGCATAGCACATTGTGCTAAATAACTTTCATGTCTGAATGCCCCCAGAGATGATAATGCTGGAACCTTTTCATAGTCTAAAAAGGTTAACTCATCTGACTGAATACACTGAATACACATATACTAGCTGAATTAAAAAGTTTATGGAGAGTAGTCTAAAGGAATAAAACTGGAGCATTTCTCCCAAATTTTATGGTAATTTTTTTAAAAGAGAGAAGAAAAATATAGAATTTATCTTAAAATGAATTTAGTTGAGGAAGAGAGAAATCAGCAGCAGGTGAAAAAATGCCCCAGGAACTGGCAAGAACTGGTTTCATCCTGTGAGTTGAATTTTCATGTTTTATTTGTGTATGGTTGTTCCTTTTCAGATATGCCAGAGGGAAATAAAAAATAAGCAAAAGAAATCCCGTTTACCTGCCAGGGAAAAAGAACAAACAACCAGGGACTAACACCTCCCTTTTCTTCATCTCCCACATGGGGCTGACTGTACGCAGAGGGTGACTGGTATCATCACCTGGAGAATAACCACTAACACTTCTGTAGCTCTCTCGGTACCTGTGTCACACACTTTGCATGCCTCATTTAATCCTCTCCACAACATTATGAGCTAAGTACAGCAGATTAATATCCCCATTTTGAAGACACCGAAGCTAAGGTTTAAAGAAGTAAAATGCCTAAGGTCCCATGGCTGGGAAGTGGAAAAGCTAGGCTTCGAACCCATTCTGCCTGATTCCAGACCACATGCTCGTAAGTGCATCCAGTGCTATCTACATCCTTGGTACAGGATATCAGTCCTGTGCTCCTTTGGAGGCTGGTGCCTGTCCAGTGACTGTAAAGAGATAAGTTAGTTCTGGGTCAGCAAAGAGACCAAGAACACCTCCCCTGTAACACATCATTTACCAGGCCAGCTTTCTTTCACTAGGCATTGGAAACTTACTTCTTCAAATGTTATTTGTAGAAGATTTAGAAAAGTTATCAACATAAATAGCAGTGAACTTTTTAGTATGTTAGGATCAATCAGTTGACAAGTATGTGTTATACTGCATACTTAAGGTTGTGCTAGGTGCACATGGGGGTTGAGGGTGGCATATTAATGACACATATAAGCCCTTGACAAAGAAGCTTATAACCTCCACCATGTGACATGAGACTACTCAGGGTCAAAGGCATATATTTAAATGCTAAGTGCTATGATTATGAATGTTAAGATGCTCAGGGAAGGGGATGGTTTGTTTGAGTCTTTAGTGTGCTATTTGAAGAATGTGGAACTACTATGTCTAAGAGAACTGAAAGAATTTAGAAAGCAGAAGAAACAAGCACTAAAGAGAAAAGTTGTTTTTATTATTTATTACATGCTGACTGCATACCCAGTGGTGAACAAAGAATAAAAGGAGGGACTGCTGGAAACATTGGGGAAGGCGCAGAACTGGCAGGCTTTTATTAGGTACGAAGATGAGTGTCACATCAGTTCATTGTCTTCTGTACCAATATTAGGATGATGGACTGAGGGCTTCAAATTTGGTTTTATATGGTGTTTGCAAAATGTTTATGGTTAAATTCTAAGATAGTAATGTCTAATGGGTAATCCATTGCATTATCAAGGCATGTAATCAAGTTTTCTTGAACAAAACACAATGAGAGAATATAATTATGTTTAGGGAAAGGTGAGGCAGGGGTGTCTGCTTGTTTGGTAGGCTCATGTAGGCCTGCAGCAGCTCCCTCACTGGTTCATGTGGCAAATGAGGGATCTCATAATAGATCTGTTTTTGAAGCTTTACTCAGACATTATTTCTTCTCTCATCAGTGTGTTCCCATTGCATTTTTTCTTTTTTTTTGAGACAGAGTCTCGTTCTGTCACCAGGCTGGAGTGTAGTAGCGCGAACTTGGCTCACTGCAACCTCCACCTCCTGGGTTCAAGCGATTCTCCTGCCTCAGCCTCCCAAGTAGCTGGGACTACAGACAAGCTACCACGCCCAGCTAATTTTTGTATTTTTAGTAGACAGGGTTTCACCATGTTGGCCAGGATGGTCTTGATCTCTTGACCTCCTCGGCCTTGACCTTGATCTGCCCACCTTGGCCTCCCGAAGTGCTGGGATTACAGGCATGAGCCACCACGCCCGGCCCCATTGCATTTTTTGCATAACCATTTCTTTTCATTCTCAGAGCAAGCAATCCAAGAGACAAGATAAGTTTCTATGCCTTTTATGGCCTAGCCCCAGAAGTCATGCACCATCTCTTCCATGCTATTATATTGGTCAAAGTAGTTAAAGGCCTTTTCAGGTTCAAGAAAAAGAAAAGTATACCCCATCTCTTGATGTAAGTTGTAAACATCACATTTTAAGAAAAGCATGTAGGATGGAATGTAGTTCAATATGTTTATATTTAGAAAATGCAATCTGCTGCAACATGGAAACCAAGTAACCCACACAAAGTGCTTACAAATATTAACTATTATTAATATTATTCAATGAATGTTTTCTTAAAGAATAAATTAATATACATTTCTTTCTGCCTAGAACTTTGAGCTGTAGTTAAATAATTCTTGACTTGTAAATTGTCAGTTTGAGCTTGTCTTGTTTGCTCCTACCTGCTACCTGCATTAGGATCCCTTCAAATTGGAGAGTTTCTAAATTTTACTTTTTAACTTAAAATCATTTCAAATTTACAGAAGTTTTAAGAGTAGTACCAAGAACTAACTCTCTAAACCCATCTGAATTTGCCTGTTTTAACCTTTTCTTCATTTTCTTTTATATTCTCTCTTCTTCCCTCCTTTCCCATTCAAGTATTAGTTTCAAACATCATACTCCTTTTCCCCTTATAGATCCATAGTACCAACATCAAATTCAGGACGTTTAACATTGATACATGCTATTATTTAATATATAGATCATACTCAAATTTTAATAATTGCCCTAAAAATGTTTTTGTAATTGTTTGTTTTCTCCCTGAACCAGCATCCAATTCAGGATCACAGATTGCATTTAGTTGTCATGGCTCATTAATCTCCTTTAATTTGAAGCAGTTCCTTAGCTTTGTTTTTCAGGACATTGACATTATTGAAGTATACAGGCCAGACGTTTGGTAGAAATGTCACATGATTTGGGTTTGCCTCAGGGTTACTCATCATTAAGTTCAGATTATGCACTTTTGGCAAGCATACCATGACAATGATGTTGTGTCCTTAACAACATATCACCACCTAGAGGCACACATTACTGATGACATTAACTTTGATCACTTTTTATAAACTGGTGATTGCTAGGTATCTCCACTAGAAGACTACCATTTCTCTTTATAATCTACAGGAAGATATTTTGAGACTATTTAATATCCTGTCTTCTTCAAACTTTTACCCTATAGCTTTAGCATCCGTTGATGAATCTTGATAAAATCAGTTATTACTATGATGTCTTTTAAAAAAGATGATTGACTTACCAACTATTATTACTTCTTCTACATTGATTAGCTGGATTCTTATTTTTATTCAGTGAATTAGATCCAATGCTGCCATTTAATTCTTGTTGAAGCTTAAATTGTCCCAAATTTAGCCAATAGGTACCCTTGAAGCTGGCCCTAAGTCTTTTTGACATAGCCTTCATCATTTTTTGTACACTTTTTTGTATAAGATATTCCAGACCCTTCTTGTCTTGCTTTGCTCTGGCCCTCCTCTCTCCAAGGAATCCTAGCTCCTTCTAGTGAGGAACAGTACCTAGAAACAAGGTCTGTGAAGAAGTGTTTGTTCAGGTTATCCAATGTTGAGGTTATTCAGGCAAAAACACGTTAAATATTGAGTCCATCAAACAGAAAGTCTTACTTAAATTAAAAAGTGTGAAGATAGTTGACCCTTGTTCAAGATGTTCTATGTGCAATTTTATTTTTATATCTAGCCAATTGCAAAACATCAGAAGAGCCATAGTCCTGGGCTTATTGGAAGTGAGGTTCTATTGAACATTGAGCTGGGAGAGTAGGGAAATTGCAAGATAGCGAGAAGTCAGGCCCCACAGAAGGAGCTGCAGCACTTGCGGGGCATCCACTTTTTAGAAAACTGGTCAGAACCAGTAGACGAACAGCCCATTTTGAAATAGTGGTTGTTTGTGCCATCTGGACTTAGCCAATCATAAAACTCAGTTGATACTCCAAGCCTAAAATGGTCTTGGAGACCCTTTTTGGATTTTGGCTTAAGCCCCATTTTAAGGAATCCAACCCCTTCTTGTGAGATCAGATTTCCCTGCCTTGCACTGAACTTGTTTAGTCCTTGTCCATCCTAGAGCTTCACATGACTCAGTCTGCCAGTTAGGTTGGGAGATATAGCGGAGCTAGAAGGAGCCCTGGCCCTGGTACTTACTAAGCATACCCCTTTGATGACTTTAATTGACTCACTGTGTGGCTCTAAGTCCCTTCTCCTTTCTGGGCCTCAGTTTCCTTATTTGTAAAATCAGAAGGTGAGGCTAAATCTCAAAATGTCCATCTAGCTTCATGTTCTATGAAATCTTCTCTGCCTAAAATCTTTAAAGTGCTAATTAAACTGGCAGATCAAGATAAATGACCAGAGGAGCTGGACCCATTACAGAATTAAAGTCTTCAGAGCCCTAGCAAGCCTGCTTTTTGAAGCGTGCTTTCTTTTTACAGCTGTGAAGAGAGGAATCAGCACATGCGCTATAACTTCATATGACTAATGGTAACCATGGCGACCACTAAATATTCCTTCCAGACCTTGCATCTGCACAGCTCACTGAAGCAGAGGAAATAAACGTTGCTGCTTTGAAAAATGATAAAAATAATCTAAGCCAGCTAGAGGCTAGGAAGGAAAGGAGAGATCTTCCACCTGAAGGTCAAGCCATTTCATCTCATTATCTTTTCAGGGCCTTGTTTAACCTCAGGGGGCATTTGGTACCAACCGAATGAATAGGTCACAGACTGGAGGGATTTAGTATCAGGCTACTGAAACACTTGACTAGTTTTTAAAGAAGCTTCTGGGGTTCTGACAATGTTTGCTAGGCTGGTGTGATGACCCCTATGTTAAAATGCAGTAGGTCATCAAAAGCAGGTCCCCCAGCAGTTCTTGGTGTCAGGTCATATTATTGGTTTAAGAGAAGAGCAACTAGAAGACTGGCCAAGGTCAAACAGGGACCTGAGAAACCAGGCAGAGAGCAATAGTAAGGAGGTCTGCATGCACAGGAAGGTGGGGGATGGAAAGGCACAGTGAGGCAGGCTGGATATCAGCACTCATGCTCAGAGAGCAGAGCACAGGCAAGAGAACTGGGCCGCATGAAGCCTGCAAATTGGACAAAGAGAACAGACAACAGGTTAATTGCACTTTCTGTAAAACATGAGGCAACAGCCAGGAATACTGCAACCAATAGTATAGCCAAGGAGAGAGATGCAGGAAATGTAAAGGAGTGAACTGCTCATGAGTGGTTGGATTCTATCTAAAGAGGGCAGCCTATTGTTGCCACGGGGGATTGCATGTCCAGAGCTCTCATTTGTCAAGAGAAGCAAGAAATCTGGATTTTAAAAAATGTGAAATTCCTTAATTGTTTAACGATGACATGGTGTGGATTGCCATTTTGCATCCTCTAAAATTATAGTTACCTTCTGAGAATAAAAATAGGAAATGCCAGAGGAAGGAGATTCACAGTTAGCCAAGTCCACAGTGACACACACGGCTGATTGTGTCCAGCATCTGAGGCTGTGAGCACCTTGCCCAGTGGCTAGTCAGTCTTCGTAATGTCATCTCCCCTACCCCAGTATTTTCACCCTGAATTGCGGTAGATGCTAGCACCAAGAACCCAGCATTGAGCTGCTCCTATGCTTTAGTTGAGTCTGGGGTCTACAGATAAGTCATAAACATCTGACTACAGCAGGGAGTGAGGGGACAGACAGCAAGTGGACCATCTCTGACATTCTTACATAAGGTGAGAAGCCAACCTGTGCAAACTTGACCACCATCCTATTTGCTGTGTTGCTCCACAGGAAACTAGTCTGGATAAAACTTAGTTTCAACCCTTAGTGCCTGGGGTTCAATAAGACACAGTAGATCATGTTACCCTTTTGAAAAGCACACTTACTTTCTAGATTACAAAATTATTAAAGGGAAATCTGAAAATGCAAAAAAGAATAGTAGCATGTAATCATAAGGTAAAATACAGATGAAGCCAATAAAATGTCTTGTGGGAAATCACTCTGATGCAAGGATAGCCTACAAGTACCATACCAGGCAACTTATTACAGAGGTCACAGAACAGGAAGGCTCATAGCTGGAATGAATATGTTGGAATCTCATACTTCATTGAATCAATTCAAAACAGAGCAATAAACAAGGGGAAAGAAGAACATAACTCACTTAGGGCAGGGTGCATGTGGGCAGAAAGACCACACTCCCCAAATCCTGTGTTATCCAAACTTCATACATCCTGTCTGTCTTCTACACTAACCTTCCCTCTTAGTGATGTGGATATAAGGACCAGAGTAAAGGCAGAGCAAGAGGGTTCAGCAGATGAAAGATGCTTGGAGCGGATGCTTAGCTAATCTTTGGGAGGGATGCATGGACAGGCACACGTGGACACAGCTACCACTCAGATTAACCTGATGAGCACTTGTGTATTATTTGCACTTTCTGTATAGAGGATTTGTAGGGCCAAATGGCACCATAATGGGTACCACAAATGAGTGTTTGATTCAGGAATGACACAGTCTTCCATCTGGAAGTGACATGATTTGTGCTTTACTAATACTTAAGGTTTACTTGTGTAGCTTTTGAGCCATTGACATTGGTGGTTGGGGGTGGGGGATATGTTCTGCCCAGGTTTGGGGGTGTCCTAACTCTTTACTAGGAAAGACTTCAATTGGAAGGCAGGAAATGGCAGCCAGATATAGAGTCACTGCTGCTTTTGTGTGAAGAGAGTTTGGTGCTTCATCATGAAACTCTGAATGGGCCCATAGAAAAAAGCAGCCTGTGTCAGAAAGGGTCTAGAATGAGTCCCCCTCTTAAGAATGAAACCAGCACTATTTGCATGGTCCTTTAGGCCTCAGCTCATCTTACACCATATACTTACTCTCCTGTTTGCAGCCTCAAACCTGCAACAGGAGAGTAAATATATGATGTAAGATGAGCCGAGGACAGAAGTTGAGGAAACACCAACATTTAAAGGGCAGATGGAGAAAGGGGAATACATGAGGGGGAGGAGAAAAAGAACAGTCAGGGATTTTGAAGAACCAGGAGAAGATGCTATCACAGAAGCTCGAGTGCTCCATAAATTCCTGCTGAACTTGAAGTGGCTGCTCAAGTACTAAAGGTGAGAATATCTGAGAGAGTAGTACACCTGTCTACAAGGGAAAGCCAAATGAGGCCAAAGCTAGGGTAGCTCCTGCCATTTAGCAGGGAAGGTAAGGGAGAGAGAGACAGCCTGATTCCCAGTGCTTCTGATGCATACTGGAAAGGGTGGTAGTGGTGTCAGAAGCCAACGTACCCTTTTGGGTTCCCCTATTAGAGATCCCATTGCTTCAGAGTTGGCTTTATAGCATCCTGCTACCTGCTACTTTCTTTCATTCTGCACTTCTAAGAGGTTTGCCTATGTGCACGTTTGTTTTCAGATGTCTAATTCTGACTCAGAAAATTGCTGGTTTCAACTCTTTTGCCAGATGGCTGAGGAAAGAGCAATTGACTGTTAGCGCTAAATGCCTGTGTCAGAGCCCAAAGCAGCCGATTTCAATTAACATAAGAAGCAGAACAGATCTCCTATCGTGCAAATGTAAAACGATGAGAGAATGAAACCTCATCCTAGCTGAAAAAGGCAAAACACACTGCGTTTTATCTCCTCCCAGATGCTGGCCACGCTGTTGGGTTACTGGGGTCTACATACAAATGGGAGAGGAATATAAATCAGTTCCTATATGACTCTAATTCCCAGAACACCACCTGTGCCCTTGCTTTCTTTCTGCTTAGCTGGCAGGGAGTGGTCCTCAAAATCACATGGCAGAAATCTTTTGTTTATTTGTTTGGGTGCATGGAGGATACCATGGGGTTGTTTTCAACACAATTTCCTGTCTTCTCAAATGAGATGTGTTTTATAGAAGTTAAGTGCTCTCTTGTTATTTTTCCAGTTTCTTTCTTTTTTTAAATTTGTTTTGTTTTAGAGATGGGGCCTCATGATATTGCCTGGGCTGGAGTGAAGTGGCTATTCACAGGTGCCATCATAGCACACTATGCTAATTTTTAAGTGGATGATATAGAAAAGGAGATTTTAATTTTTTACTTTGGTTTTTAAAAATGTATATTTCTTTTCCTTTTTCTTTTCTTTTCTTTTCTTTTTTTTTTTTTTTTTTTGAGACAGGCTCTCATTCTGTCACCCAGGCGGGAGTGCAGTAGCATGATCTTGGTTCACTGCAACCTCTGCCTCTTTTTTTTTTTTTTTTTTTTTTTTTTGAGACAGGGTCTCATTCTGTCACCCAGGCTGGAGTGCAGTGGCATGATCTTGGTTCACTGCCACCTCTGCCTCTGGGTTCAAGTGATTCTCCTGCCTCAGCCTCCCCAGTAGCTGGGATTACAGGCATGTGCCACTACACCCGGCTAATTTTTTTTGTTTTTAGTAGAGCCGGGGTTTCACCATGCTGGCCAGGCTGGTCTCAAACTCCTGACCTCAAGTGATCCACCCGCCTTGGCCTCCCATAGTGCTGGGATTAGAGGCATGAGCCACCGCACCTGGCCTACAAATATATTTTTTGTTATGTACTACACTTTACAAGGTGAAAATAAAAACAAAATTTAAAAATCTAGATTGAGATATGTTGCTCCCACCTTGCTCTTCATCTACCCAGTTTCTTTCTGCCCTTAATAAGTAATTTCAATTAGTCTCTTGCTATTTTTCCAGTGTTTTTTATTTTATTTTCGAGACAGGGTCTCATGACGTTGCCTGGGCTGGAGCGAAGTGGCTATTCACAGGTGCCTCCATAGTGCACTACAGCCTTGAGCTGCTGGACTCAGTGATCCTCTGGCCTCAGCCTCCTGAGTAGCTGAGGACTACAGGTGCACACCATTGTGTCCAGCTGCAGTGTTTCTTATTGCATGTACAAGCATACATATACATTCTTATTTCCTCCTCTCTTTTTTCAGAAAAGATAGCATATTACACTATTTTGCACCAAGCTTTTTCATTATTGAACAATATATTTTGGAGATCTTGCCATATTGATACATAGAGAGCTTCTTCATTCTTTTTTTATTTGTGTACCATATTCAGTTATACAGATACACCATAGTTCTTTTGACCAGTCCCCTATTTTTGGAGGTCATTTCCAGTTTTTGCTATAAGAAACAGTTCTCTAGTTGATATCTTTAACCATCTATGCTGTGATACATAGGTAACAGTAACTGTGGGATAGATTCCCAGGAGTAGCATTGTGGTTCAAATGCATCTGTAATTTTGGTAGATATTGCCAGATACCCTTCCATGGGGGCTGGCCATTTTGCCTGCCTTCTAGTGCAGTGTGAGAGTGTCTATTTCTTTGCAGCTTTAGTAACTGAGCATTTTCAAACTTCTGTTTGGGGCTTTTTTGTTTGTTTGCTTTGTTTTGTTTTGATTAGTCAAATAAATTAGCTCAAGGTAGTGCAATTTGTATTTCTCTTATTATACTTTCTTGAGGTCATAGTATATTATTATTTTTGTTTGGTTTCATGATCTCCCAGAGAAGGATCATGACCCGATGATGGCAGGGTGGGGGATTGTTGGGGTGGATAATCCTTCCTAGATGCTTCACTCTTGGGCTCTAAGGACTTTATAAGATTCTAGATCCTCCATCATGTCCTTGTGTGTTAGTTTTATTACTCCATGTTTTCCTGTAGTGATTAGTAATTGTAATACTAACCAACATGTATTGAGTGCTTGTTACATTCTAGGTACTATTCTGAGCACTCTCTATATAATTCATTTACTCTTAAAAAAAAAACTTTATAAGGAAAGATGTTATAATCTATATTCAGATGAGGAAATGGAGGTACAGCAAGGTCGGTAACTTGCCTAAGGTCCCAAAGATAGAACCTAGGCAGTCTGATAGAGGGTGAACAACATCTTGGATTTTTGTTTGTTTTTTTTTTGTTTTGTTTTGTTTTCCTGGGACAATCCTGGTTTTTGCCTTTAAAGTTCCATGTCCCTGAAAACTCCTTAGCCTGGGCAAACTGGAGCAGTTGGTCACCCTAGTTTGACCCTAGAGCCCTTGCAAATCACTATTACATTTGTCTTAAGCCTACAAGAGGATGGATGCATGTAATCAGAGGAATGGGAGAGAGAGCGTTGCTATAGCAGCATGTGTGAGACTTTTAATTTGTAGATTCCTATTTTTATTCAATTAGCCTGACACCAAGGGAGCAGGAAAAAAGAGTGGGGCCATTCCCTCAGTCAAGTAGCTGCAGAAATGAGAAATAGCCAGAGAGAGAGAATAGCTAATCCAGCTGCTATCATCAGAAATCCGTGTGGAGGTCTAGTAAAACAAAAAACAAAAAACAGAAAACATATATAGTCTTGTCACTACGGTAAGTGAACAATTTGCATGCACTATTTCAATTACTCCTCAGAGTAGCTCTGTGAGATTGGTACTAGTATTGCATCCATTTTCCAGATGAAGAGAGGTGAAGAAACTTGCCCAAAGTAAGGTAGATCGAAACTCAAGCTCTCTGCCTGCAAAATCCATGCATGTTTTACCTAAATTTAAGTGCATATTTGATTCCTAACTGGGCTCTTAATGACTAACAGTAGGAAAGACTCTTGAAATCCTGAATCTTTGGCCTTGCTGCAAGAGATGCTGATTTATTCTTGAATGGAGAAACCTAGCAGCTAAACAATTAGAGATGCTTTTAAAGATTTCTAACAGCTTCGGGAACAAGCACTTGTTTAAACATGTTGAGGCTGTGAAGAGCAACAGATAAGATTCTGCTCTATTTTTGCCACCAGGAGCCATGTGGTCTTGAGCAAGACTCATTTAAACTCTCTTGGTTTGGGTACTTAAGTATAAAATGAGGATAATTGTTTCTTACTTACTTCAAAGATTATCTTCTGAAGACCTTTCTTTTTCTAAGATTCATCAGCACAATCCATACGTCTCTGATTTCTCAAGCTACATTATATTTGTATTAGTCTGTTCTCATGTTGCTAATAAAAACATACAAGACATACCCAAGACTGGGTAATTTATAAAGGAAAGAGGTTTAGTTGATTCACAGTTCAGCATGGCTGGGGGGTGCCTCAGGAAACTTACAGTAATGGCTGAAGGGGAAGCAAACACATCCTTCTTCACATGGCAGCAGGAGAGAGAATGAGTGCCCATTAAAGGAGGAAATCCCTTAAAAAACCATCAGATCCCGTGAGAACCATCTCACTATCATGAGAACAAGATGTGGGAAACAGCCTCCATGATTCAATTTTCTCCGCCTAGTCCCTCCCATGACATGTGGGGATTATGGGAACTACAATTCAAGATGAAGATGAGATTTGGGTGGGGACACAGCCAAATCATATCAATACCTGAGAAAAAGCAAGGACCCAGTATAGAAAACATTATACTAAGTACACAGTATATATAAATTTATATAATTCAAGAATGAATTTGGCTAGAGTCCTATAATAGGATTTCTAAAGTTAGAATTTCTAAATTGGCCCCCCAAAGATGCTCTGCCTAATCCCCAGAACCTGTGAATGTGATGAAATGTCTTTGATTATGTTATATGACACAGTTGACCTTGAAATAAGGGGGATTATTCTGGGCTATGCAGTGGGCCCATTACAATCACATGATCCCTTAAAAGCAGAGAGCTTTCTTTGGCTGGTGGCAAGTGGGGCTGAAGTAGGAATAATGGTAGTTGAAGAGATTTGAAGCAACAGGGCCATTTGACACACCACTGTTGGCTTCGAAGATGGAAGGAATATGGGTGGCCTTTATAATCTGAGAGCAGATACCAGCTAACAGCGAGCAAGAGACCAGCAACCTCAGTCCTGCAAGTACAAGGAATGAATTCAGCCAATAGCCAGAATGAGTTTGAAAGTGGATTCTTCTCTAGAACCTCTAGATAATATCCCAGCCTAACCAACACTGATTTCAGTCTTGCGAGGTCCTAATCACAGAACTCAGTGAAGCCCACTTGGATTTCTGACATGCAGAGCTGTGAGATGATAACTGTACAGTGATAACTGTGAGATGTAACTGAGAGATGATAAGTAACTTGAGGGTTTTTTTTTAGATATCAATAGATAATTAACATGTCTCCATCTAGGTTTCTTAGAATCCTGATTTTTTATCTCCTACTCTTGTGGTCTTTTGAGTTGCATTCTAGACTGAGGATATGGTCTCAGTATTTCCATATTCCCTCTTGATTTCAAGCAGTTCCACAAAACTAGGAGTCTCCAATCACATCCTCTCTAATCAAATTCCTGGCAGGATGCTGCTGCTTGACTTTGGTTGTCACCGTCTCTGTCCCTTACCTTACCATTGGTACAGGCCACTGTTTCAATTATTGATCAAGGCCTTACTATCTCACCTTTCCTACTTTCTATTAGAGCTATTAGAACTAATAAATAAATTCATTAGAACTGATTAATGAATTCAGTAAAGTTGCAGGGTACAAAATAAACATACAAAAATCAGTTGCATGTCTTTACACAAATAATGGTCTCTCTGAAAAAGGAATCAAGAACATAATCCCATTTACAATAGCATCCAAAAGAATAAAATAGTAATAAATGTAACCAAGGATGTGAAAGATCTTCACACTGAAAACTATAAAACATTGATGAAATAAATTAAAGAACACACAGTTAACTGGAAAGATATCCCATGTTTATGAATTGGAAGACAATATGGTTAAAATGTCTATACAATTTGAAGCAATATATGCATTCAATGTAATTCCCATCAAAATTCCAATGCATTTTTCACAGAAATATAAAACATTCTAAAATTTGTATGGAACCACAAAGATGTCAAGTAGCCAAAATAATTTTGAGAAAGAAAAACAAAGTTGGAGGCATCATACTTTCTGATTCCAAATTATAATACAAAGAAATAGTAATCAAAACAGTATGGTACTGACATAAAAACAGACTCCTACATCAATGAAACAGAATAGCGAGCCCAGAAATAAACCTATACATAGATGGTCAACTAATTTTTGACAAGGCCACCAGGAAGATACCATGGGGGAAAGGCTAGTCCCTTCAGTAAATTATGTTGGGAAAACTTGGTATCCACAGGCAAAAGAATGAAACTTGACTAATGCCATACACAAAAATAAACTCAAAGTAGATTAAAGAATGAAACATAAGACCTAAAACTGTAAAGCTCCCAGAAGAAAATATAGGGGAAAAGTTTATTGATTTGGCCTTGGCAAGGATTTTTTTGATATCTCACCAAAAGCACAGAGAACAAAAGCAAAAATAAACAAGTGAAATGACAGAAAACTAAAAAGCTTCTGCACAGCAAAGGAGCTAATCAACAAAATGAAACAGCCAACAGACTGGGAGAAAATATTAGGGAATTATGTGTTAGATAAGGGGTTAACATCAAAAAACAAGGAATTTGCACAGTGCAATAGTAAAAAAAATCAAATAATTCAATTAAAATTTGGGCAAAATACATGAATAGACATTTGTCCAAAGAAGAAATAAAATGGCCAACAATTATATGAAAATGTACTCAACATCATTGGTTATCAGGGAAATGCAAATCAAAACCACATTGAAATATCATCTCACTCCTGTTAGAATAGCCATTATCAAAAAGACAAGAGAAATAAAGTGTTGGTAAAGTTGTGAAGAAAAGAGAACCCTAATACAATGCTGGTAGGAACGTAGATTGGTGCAGCCATTGTGGAAAACATTATGGAGGTTTCTAAAGAAATGAAAAATAGATTTATCATAAGACCCAGCAATTCCTCCAATTTTTTTTTTACTCTATTTTAAGTTTAAAAAATGTTTTTAAAAGTGTCTATTAGATGAAAGGAGAATATAGGACTTATGAGAAATTGAGATGCTTTTTTGTTGGTCAAGTGTTACTATGGAGATGTTGTGGCAACAGAGTTGAAGCAATAGAGGTGAAATCCAAAGTGACATGAGACTAAGATTAGAACCAGAATAATTATGAGGAAACAAATTTACACCAGATGATAGAGTTCAAGAATAAAACGGAAATGGAAAAGGAAAAGCAATGTCAATAGCTAAGAATAGAGCAGGACTAAGGCTGTGAATGGCAAACTGGCGCTTGGTGTGTATTACAAGGGGTGTGTTCTCTATGTTCCAATATACATAGAGTATATTAGCCCTGTCCTTAAGTTCAAGTCCTAAATATGTACTAGCTGTTACTAAAGTACTGTGGGTATATGTGTGCAGGAAGAGGCAAGGACAAGCAATTGATGGAAAGATGTTCACACAAGATGGAGCAGAGTGGGAAGCTGTTTTTAAAAAGAATACAAATTATATGTGGTTACAGATTGATCCCCTCTTTTAATAGTGAATTTTACTGATTTTATCTAAACAATTTACACTTTAAGGACTCTGAAGCTAGGAAAATAAACCTGTTTTATATTAAACGCTATTTTAGCTACAAAAAAAGACAAAAGGTCTTTGGTGAAACTAGCAATGTAACCCTTGGGCCCAAGTCATGAAAATGTGTATATTCACAGCATAACTCTCTCTAGCTGTTAAGCTGTCCCAGTGCCTGCTCAGTCAATGTTTTAGAGTATTCTGTCACCCCAGTGGCATTCTACAAAGTTTTTGGAGCTGATGCTGGAATTTTCTGAGGCTAACTCTATAAATAATTGAGTTTCCATCCCATAGATTTTACTTCCGTTTTTGTTATGTCTAGCTGGAAAATTTACTGACACCATTCAACTTTCTTCTCTCCCTCTAGGTTTCTTCCAACACTAACTCTGGCCCATTTCTCCCTTAAAAAATAAATGTGAAAAGAGCTGAGATTAGTTTCCCCTGCTAAAAATGGTGCCTTCGTGGGTAAGCTTCACCAGTACTATTGATAAGATTAAATTGTTCTGTAGACCTCAAAAGAATTTTAGTTCTGTTAGGAGCCTCTAGATTGAGAGTGTTAGCTGGACGTTTGAAATTTTGTAGGCCTTAGGAATAGGCCTAGACAGGAAGATATTGGGTTTTGCTCTCTCGATGCAGGATTCATTTTTTAAAGATTGGGCAGAAAGCTGTTTTTTGGTCTTATTAATTCTTGCTATTGTGCTTTGATTGTGTGACAGCTTCATTGCTTTTAATTATTGATGGAGGTGATGATGGTGATATACTTTCTTGAGACCAGGTGGCGTTAACAGGTTTTAACATTGGTTCCTCATTCCTACTGAACCAGCATGACTTTCTCTTGATGTTTTTCATGTTGTCAAGATCTTAGATTATTGGAAATGAAAGACAAATAAGAAAGAAAATCTCACCCACAATTTTAAGATATCTTAATTCATAAAGTAACTGTTTTTGTGATCCTGGGGCACCATACTTCATCTGATCAAACAGTTTCACTGGAAGCTAATCTGTTGGATATAGTTAGTATTTATATGGTAGATGACCAAAAGAATTGGTAGGCAATCCTACTTTTGGGTTATTATCTACTGCAACCTTGTTGGTTGTTATCTATTGAGTATTATCTATTGAGTTTAATAGAAGTCAACTACTTCCATGTCAGATCTTCTAAAAGAGTGAAGATACAGAGAATATCATTTATTTACTCAAAAATATTTATTGCATATCCACCATGTGCCAGATACTGTGTTAGGTGCTGGGAATACATCAGTAAAGAAAATGGACAGGCTCTCAGGGCACTTACATTTTCATTGGGAACACAGAAGACAGTAATGAAATAAAGTAAGAGATAAGTACTAATAAGATAAAGAAGACAATACTGTGGGTAAGAGTGATTAGTCACTAAAAAAAATAAGAATTTCTAAAAAGGTAGATAGATAATATATCTTATAATAACCATAATATCATAAGGAGCAGCAGTATATTATATAGCTATTGACCATCAGGATACATGATATTTGCTACAATGACTTTCTTTTTCTTTTAACTTTGCATTTCCTTTTATATTTCTTCAGGCTTCCTATTATATAGGACATCGGGGGTGGGGGTAGACAGGATTGCAAAACTTTTGATCTAATAGATATTTTAGAATGATCTAATTTCCTTCACTTTGTAGATGATGAAAATGAGGCTCAGAGAAGTTATCAGACTTGTTCAGGGTTTACAGCTAGGTACAGCTAATTACAAGTACCCAGCGCTCATCCCTGTACATTTCCAGTGAGTGGTGCTTGTCTAGGTTTTTAATTTATAAAGCCCGAAATCTAAGCTTTCATGGTCTCATATGTGATCAACACTGAGATGACTCAAGTTCTCCAGGGGTTACTTTTTATTTAATACCTATTAATAGCACACAAGCTCTCTTCTTACCCCCAAATCAGGAAGAAGCCTAGCCTTTAATGAGCTCTTACTTGCCTTCTCCCTGTCTGGCTTAATGCTCTCTAGGCTTCAATATGGGTGGATTCCAGCAATTTCAAACTGTTTCCCCAGGCTGCTACGGATATGCTTACATTGCTTAAGTCTCAATGTGGACACAGTTAATTTTGTAAGCACTTCTAAGACTAGACTATGTAGTTAGCAAAACATTACCAAAGGTTTGGGGATAACAGAAGAGAATTATTTTGCAGAACAGAAAAAGGAACCTGGATATTAGCTGTCACTAGAGTTCATTGGCAAAGCCCTCAAGAAGAGTTCCCTCATAGTCATCTCTTTCAACCTTCCTCTAAACCTAGTCCTACACCATAGTGCAGGAATCAGCTTAACATACCATGGCCTCTGACCATGTCCCTATTACCTGTAGCCCTAGCTGTTGGGTCATCACTGGCCCTAGAGAGTTGAGAAAATCCTTTCTTCCTCAAGACAGACACTTCAGTCCACAATGATGATAACCTTGTATTAAATCATACAGAGCAGTTTATTCTTCATAGTCTCACATTTTCTATCCCAGATTTGAATTTGGACTTTCTTTTTACCCAATCAAGAAGCTGCTCCCCCTGCTACCATTTATGATGCCTTCACTTCCAGCTATATTAAAAACAAATAAACAGAAAACTGTTGGCAGCTTTGAAATAATAATTTCCCTTGCCTAATAGCCAGCTGTCAAAATTTTAGTTCTGATTGTGTCAAATTTCTGAACATCTCCTTACATGATAATCTAAAGAATTTCCACCACTACTCCCACTACTTCGTTGGTAGTTAGCTTTCCTTACCAACTTCACAGTGTGTTTCAAAACCCAGCCTTCTCTGGGAGGCTGCTTATCCTCATGTCCTTCTTTTTTTTTTCTTCCTTTATTTTATTTTATTTTATTTTTTGAGACAGTCTTGCTCTGTCGCCCAGGCTGTAATGCAGTGGCACAATCTCAGCTCACTGCAGCCTCCACCCCCTAGGTTCAAGTGATTCTCCTGTCTCAGCCTCCTGAGTAGCTGCTATTACAGGTGCCTGCCACCATACCCAGTGAATTTTTTGTGTGTTTTTAGTAGAGACAGGGTTTCACCATGTTAGCCAGGCTGGTCTCGAAACCCTGACCTCAACTGATCTGCCTGCCTTGGCCTCCCAAAGTGCTGGGATTACAGGCTTGAGCCACCACCCCCAGCTGTTATCCTCATGTCCTTCTTTTTTTTTTTTTTTTGAAACGGGGTCTCACTCTGTGGCCCAGGCTGGAGTGGAGTGGCACAATCTCGGCTCAGTGCCAGCTCCGCCTCCCGGGTTCATGCCATTCTCCTGCCTCAGCCTCCCAAGTAGCTGGGACTACAGGCGCCCACCACCACGCCCGGCTAATTTTTTGTATTTTTAGTAGAGACAGGGTTTCACCATTTTAGCCAGGATGATCTCGATCTCCTGACCTCGTGATCCACCTGCCTCGGCCTCCCAAAGTGCTGGGATTACAGGTGTGAGCCACCACGCCCGGCCCTCATGTCCTTCTAATCAGCACGTTATTCTTAGCACTTAGGTGTTTAGTTTGGATGTCATTTTCACCTGTCATTTATACATATGCGTTCTCCTCACAATTAGAGCACAAACACTTTAGAGACAGTTATTTTGTGTCATGATTCCCTCACCTCCTGTTCTCCACATCTCACAACAATGCCTATTTAGTACCCAACAAATATAACCTATTTCTTGGCGACTAAAATCTATTATTTATCCCCCAAACATTGCCAAAGGCCTTACACTTACTGCATTGTCATTTCTACTTTGATATTGTCCTTCATTTCACCTTCCTATTGAATTTTTCCCAAGGTCCGTGCTCATTGCTTGTCATATGGATTTGGCATGAAATTCAGATGAAATTCCCATTAAAAGGCATAATTTAGATCTCATTTGACATGAGAAAGCTTAATCTTTACAGTTTATGCTGTAATTTTCTATTGTATAACCCAATAGGAAATAGTATGTTGAGAGGCTGGAGATTGAACTGAAGACGGAGTGTCACATTGTTGCTGCCTCAGCCAAGAAAACTACATGGCCTTGTGTGTAATGGTGGGGATGCTGGTGATCTTAGGAGGCTAGTCAGAGCTGTAATCAGGGCCTGAAAGCCAGTGCAGGGGAGTGTACAGGCAAAGGGGTCACACCTAATGAATGGGTCTTATTGAGAACAGGGAGATGGGCTAAGAAAGAGACATGGGCCGGGTGCGGTGGCTCACACCTGTAATCCCAGCACTTTGGAAGTCCGAGGGCGATGGATCATTTGAGGTCAGGAGTTTGAGACCAGCCTGACCAACGTGGTGAAACCCCGTCTCTACTAAAAAAAACAAAAAACTTAGCCAAGCATGGTGGTGCATGCCTCTGGTCCCAGCTACTTGGGAAGCTGAGGCAGGAGAATCTCTTGAACTCAGGGGGTGGAGGTTGCAGTGAGCCGAGATTGCGCCATTGCACTCCAGCCTGGGTGACTGAGCAAGACTCCATCTCAAAAAAAATAAAAGAAAGAGACATGGAAAAGGTGTGGGTCACTACACTCTCAGGCCCAACTGTGGCCTGAAAACACACAACATAGGAGGAGAAGTAGAGGGATGGATCAAGGAGTGAGGAGTACACTTTGCAGGTGTTAGCAGAACTTGGTGTGTTGTTTAAAACTTTTTAGGTCAGTAAAATTAAATGGTAATTCACCCAATATATCTTCATTACTCATCCTTGTGCCCAGTCTTACCCCATCCTCCTTTTACTATATGTATAATAAATATATAATAAATTTATTTATTTATTTATATTTGAAATGGAGTCTTGCTCTGTTGCCCAGAATGGAGTGCAGTGGCCCTATCTTGGCTCACTGCAACCTCCGCCTCATGGGTTCAAGTGATTCTCCCCGCTCAGCCTCCCAAGTAGCTAGGATTACAAGCGTGCGCCACTAAGCCTGGCTAAAATTTTTGTATTTTTAGTAGAGATGGGGTTTCACCACGTTGGCCAGTCTCGTCTCAAACTCCTGACCTCAAGTGATCCACCTGCCTTGGCCTCCCAATGTGCTGGGATTACAGGTGTGAGCCACTGTGCCTGGCCTCTTGTAAATATTTAATACCGTGTGAAAATCCAAGAAGCTTTGCCTTTCCAGAGTTTGAATTCATCAATATGCTCAAAATAACAACTTGATATCTTTGAAGGTTTTGGTTGTTTACCTAATCTAGTTGTACTTTTCTTAAACAGAGGAAAGTTATCTTTGATTAGAAATAAGCAAAACTAATCTATGGTGGAAATTTAGAATGCACACACCTATAATAATTTCAATATTAAGTAAAACTACTTCTCTGGGTGTCAAAACATACACATATCTATACATAATGGATGAAACTGACATCAGCCAACAGAGTGCAGAATGGATGCATTTGGGGCCAAACAGCTTGAGTTTCAACCCCATCTCTACTCATTTAACTGTGTGATCTGGGCAAGTTATTTTGCTTATTTGAGCCTCAGTTTCTCCATCTGTTAAATGAAGGTAGTTCAGTTGACCCTTGAACAACATGGGTTTGAACTGCATGGGTCCACTTAAACATGGATTTTTTTCAATAAATATATTGGCAAATTTTTTGGAGATTTGAGACAATTTGAAAAAACTTGCAGACGAACTACATACCCTAGAAATATCCCCCAAATTAAGAAAAGTTAAGTATGTCATGAATGCATAAAATATATGTAGATATTAGTCTATCTTATCATTTAAATGTAAATGATACATGTGTAAAATATACACAAAGCTATTATAAAAAGTGAAAATTTATTAAAACTTATGCACACAAACACTTACAGACCATTCATGGCACCATTCACAATCAAGAGAAATGTAAACAAATATAAAGATGCCATATTAAATTATAACTGCATACATTCAACTGTGGTACATACTGTAATAATTTCATAGCCACCTCCTATTGCTACTACACTGAGCTCAAGTATTGCAAATATCTGCTTAAAATGCTGTTGGATGCTAATCATCTCCACGTGAGCAGTTTGTCTCTCCAGTAAATTGGATATTGCAATAAAAAGTGATCGCCCACAGTTTTCACGTATTTTCCATCATATTTAGTGCAATATTGTAAACCTTGAATAATACCATGGGTTCCATATGAAGTGCTACTGGTGATGCTGCTGGAAGTGCTCCCAAGAAGCAGAGAAAGGTCATGACATTACAGTAAAAAGTTGAATTGCTTGATGTGTACCATAGAGTGAAGTTTGCAGCGGTGGTTACTGCCATTTCAGACGGATAATTCATCTTATAACAGATGGCATAGGTTGGGCGCGATGGCTCACGCCTGTAATCCCAGCACTTTGGGAGGCCGAGGTGGGCGGATCACGAGGTCAGCAGATCGAGTTCATCCTGGCTAACACGGTGAAACCCCGTCTCTACTAAAAATACAAAAAATTAGCCGAGTGTGGCGGCGTGCGCCGGTAGCCCCAGCTACTCGGGAGGCTGAGGCAGGAGAATGGCGTGAACCCGGGAGGCGGAGCTTGCAGTGAGCCGAGATCGCGCCACTGCACTCCAGCCTGGGTGACAGAGTGAGACTCCGTCTTAAAAAACAAACAAAAAAAAGCAAAACAGACGGCATAAACTTATGGTATCAATAAATATAACATATTACTGTAAATACATTTTTTCTCAAGTTTTTTAAATAACATTTTTTCCTCTAGGTTACTTTATTGTAAGAATACAGTACCTAATACATATACCATGCAAAATATGTGTTAATCAACTCTTCATGTTACCAGTAAGGTTTCCAGTCACCAATAGGCTATTAGTAGTGAAGCTTTGGAGAGTTCCATTATGCTCGGATTTTTTGACTGTGTGAGGATTGACACCCATAACTTCTGCATTGTTCAAGGGTCAAACGTATTTACCTTATAGGGGTAATGAGAGTTTAAATGAATGAATATGTGTAAAGCTTGCAGAAGAATGTCTGGCACACAGTACCAGATAAGTATTAGCTATTATTATAATTACACTCCTGTGGTTTACTTTTGTAGTGAGTTTGTGTTTAAAGTGCTTGGGGGTGAAGAAGATTTTACTGTTAATCACTTTTACAAATATTGAAAGTTGGATTTTCTCTTCTTCTCCTGAAGAATGTGTGTGTGTGCATACATATATACTATGTGTTTGTGTACATAGTGATTTTTGAAAACAGGGTGCTTGTTAATTTCTGTATTACCCAATCATGGATTGAATTTTCTTTTTTGGTAATGCTGAAAGTATTTTACTAATAGGGCAGTTTCTTTCTCAACTTAATCACCAGAGAGAGAATGTAATTCAAATGTGGAAACAGTTTCAGTGAAGGTGTGAGCCCACAGAGTTTTCTTTATATTAGGGCCACAGGAACAGTTTAATTTTCTCTGTTATGTTCCAAATACATCTCAAGCTGTACTGGGAATATCACTATAAAATAAACGGGCTCTTGCAATTCAGCACCTCCTACGCACAGCTAATTAGATAGAATAAGAGGCAAGGAGCAGACAAGCATCAGGCTCATACATATTACACATTTTTATTAATAACATACAAATGATCTTAATGAAACCTGCATTTTCCATGAGTAACAATCTCACACAGTTTTGTTCCCTTGTCCAGGAGCTCCAGAGGGAATGGAAATGCCCTGAAATTTTAATGGTTTAACAGACTCTCATTATTTTGCAGCCTCTCACTCTAGCTTCTCCCAGTTTCTAGGACCCAAGTGACTAAATGAAAGACCCATGTTTCCTCTGGGCTCTACATGAGCTTGTGATCCTAGAAACTCCCAGAGACAAGTCTTGGCATTAAAAAAAGAAAATCGCAAATCAAAACCCTAATAATTCACAAGGTCTAAACTAGCTCTCTCTGTTTTCTGTTCCCCTCACTCCCTTCATTGTGTTTACCCAAATTTGTGAGTATATATTTTTCCTGTGATAATTTTTTAAGAAGTCTGTCTCAGCTGGGTGCGGTGTCTCACGCCTGTAATCCCAGCACTTTGGGAGGCTGAGGCGGGCGGATCACCTCAGGCCAGGAGTTTGAGACCAACGTGGTGAAACTCCTTCTCTAAAAATACAAAAAAATTAGCCTGGCTTGTGGACAGGCATCTGTAATCCCAGCTACTCGGGAGGCTGAGGCAGGAGAATTGCTTGAACCTGGGAGGCAGAGGCTGCAGTGAGTTGAGATTGCGCCACTGCACTCCAGCCTGGGCAATAAAAGCAAAACTTCATCTCAAAAAAAAAAAAAAGCCTGTCTCCCACTGTATATGCAAGCTCCTGAAATCAGGTATCATCTCTATCTCTGGCTATTGCCAGAGCTATGCACACCTCTGACATACTGTAGGTTCTATATGATTTGATGTGTGTGCCACGTGGATGCTACAGCTGGAGCTTTTATGACTTCTTCATTAAATTGAAAAATTATTTATACATAATACAATTTACACTTTGAAGCATATGCTTTCATGTGTTTGACAAATGTATGGAGTCACATAATCTTTACCATAATCGAGATAAAGAAGCGTTACATCAATCCCCAAATTCCTTCATGCCCGTCTTCACTCAGTCTTCTACTTCACTTTCACCCCTACCCCCTGGAAATACCAATCTGTATTACCTTCCTATAATATTGCCTTTTCTAGACTATCATAT
Source organism: Homo sapiens (assembly GCF_000001405.40). Taxonomy (NCBI): domain Eukaryota; kingdom Metazoa; phylum Chordata; class Mammalia; order Primates; family Hominidae; genus Homo; species Homo sapiens. Next base: position 75,797,103 of record NC_000012.12, on the reverse strand, counting down.
AAATGAAATGATATACTGGGTAGTCTTTTGTGTCTGGCTTCTTTCACATAGCCTAATGCTTTTGAAATTCATCCATGTTGTTTTGTGTATTAATAGTTTGTTACTTTTTATTACTGAAAAGTAGTATAGTAGATTCTTAACAATTATTTGTGGGAAATATAAACAGGAAACAGATTTGGAAATATACCTACAAATGGATTAAATGAGAAAATTATAAACATCTGTATCTGCAAATCCTTGCTGTGTGTCAGGATAATAGGTTAATAATATTTTAATGGTAATCACTGTAAATCTTAACTCTAGGTTTTTTTTTTTTTGAGACGGAGTTTCACTCTGTCGCCCAGGCTGGAGTATAGTGGCGAGATCTCGGCTCACTGCAACTTCTGCCTTCTGGGTTCAAACAATTCTCCTGCCTCAGCCTCCCGAGTAGCTGGGACTACAGGTGCATGCCACCATGCCTGGCTAATGTTTTGTATTTTTATTAGAGACAGGGTTTCACCATGCTGGCCAGGTCTTGATCTGCCCACCTTGGCCTCCCAAAGTGCTGGGATTACAGACATGAGTCACTGCGCCCAGCCCTAGGTCTTGCTTTTAATCTTCAGATTTTTGATGGAGTATTGTCCAAATAATTGGACAATTTAATTAAATTGAATAATTTAAGCATCATTTCTAGTTGAAATGAAATAATGTTCTGTTTCTTTGATACCTAGACATTAACATCTAGATATTGTCTCATGAGATCTATAGTGGAGACCCTGATACATAAGGGAAGCTGATCTTTTCATCATAGATTATCCCCATTGGTATAGTGGGCACTGCAATTTTCAAGTAAAAATTTCACATTTCAGCTAAAATGATATGAGAATTATCTTAGATGATGAAAAAATAACTTAAAATGCATTGTTTGCCCAATCTTACCCTTAGAAAAATAAAAACCAATATTGGATGCTTTTGGATGAATCCAGGTTTCATCTTGGATTCTTTTTTAAAATTATTATTTATCTATATTCTTAGTTTTTAGAGATGGGGTCTCACTCTGTTGCTCAGACTGGAGTGCAATGGCGCAGTCATATGTAACTGCAGCCTCAAACTTCTGGGCTCAAGAGATCCTCTTGCCTCTCCTCTTGGATTCTTGAAGAGTATTTTCCTCAGTGGTTACTGGGACTATGACAAAGAAAATGTTGCTATTTCAAAGAGTGCCCTAATGTTAAGTCATTGAGATAAAAGGAAAATCAGGTCTGTCCTTTCTGTCACAACATAAATGATTAAGGAGAGGCAGAATGTGTGAGAAAAGAGTTACTGGATTAAGAATGAGATGTGGATTCTACTTAGCCAAAGTGATTTAACCTCTTGACAGTAGTGTTCTCTGGTAAAATTTGGATAAATAATTATTAAGTCCTGCTTATCTCTTGGGCTTGCTGCTTATTTAAAATGCTACTAGCAATAATATTCTCTTTGGTTTGCCTGTTCTTCTACTGGAAACACTCCTGTATAATAGTTGAACATGTTGACCTCTCCCCTAACACAGTGGTAGAGATTACTGTGGGGAAAATGATTTCTTCCTTCACTCCTTTGCAATAAAGGTCTTCATGAGCATAGAAGAGTCATATAAAAAATATCTTGTGTTTTAACTCAAAAATGACATATGACAATATACAAGCTTATTTGTAAAATTCTTCACATTAGCTTTGGAAAACTACTAACTAGACAGTAAATTCCCAAGATCTTGCTTATTTACTTACTATGTGCCTGGCACTATGCTAGGAATATGACATATATTATCTCATTTAACCATCACAACAATCCTCCAGGGTAGGTAATGTTATGGGTCATATTTTAGAGATGAGGAAACAGGCTTAAAGATGTTAAATAACTTGCTCAAGGTCATCAAAAATAGAAATGGGATTGAAATCCAGCTCTTTCTCTCTCTCTCTCTCTCTTTTTTTTTCTTTTTTTTTTGAGATGAGTCTCTCTCTGTTGCCGAGGTTGAAGTGCAGTGGCACAGTCTCGGCTCACAGCAGTCTCTGCCTCGCGGGTTCAAGCGATTCTCCTGCCTCAGCCTCCTGAGTAGCTGGGATTATAGGTGTGCACCCCCACGCCTGGCTAATTTTCATATTTTTAGTAGAGACGGGGTTTCACCATGTTGGCCAGGCTGTTCTAGAACTCCTGACCTCAGGTGATCCACCTGCCTTGGCCTCCCAAGGCTAGCTCTCTTTAATTCCAAAGGCAGCCCAGACTCTTAAGCAGTGATATGCTGGTAAACTGGATTTCTAGTTTCTACTTTTTGGTTACTATGAGTAATGCTACTATGAACATATTTTGAAATCTCTTGGGCATATACCTAGGAATAGAATTGCTACACGCATGGTAACTCTGGTAAACTTTTTGAGGAATTGTCAAACCATTTCCTAAAGCAGCTGAAATATTTTACATTCCCACCAGTAATGTATGAGAGTTCAAATTTCTCCATATCCTTGAAAACAATTCTTATTGTCTGGCTTTTTTACTTTAACCATTCTAGTGTGTGTGAAGTAGTATCTCATGGTTTTGATTTTTATTTCTCTAATGATAAACGTTGAGCATCTTTTCATGTGCCTATTGGACGCTTGTATATCCTCTTTGGAGAAATGCCCTTTTATATCCTTTGCTTGTTTAAACATTATATCCTTTTCACCTATGTCTATGTTTATGACAGTAACAAAATTTTGATGATTATAGCTAGGTAGAAACTTTTAAAATTCAGCAGGGTGAGTCTTCTAATTTCACTCTTCTTTTTCAAAATTTTTAGGTATTTTATTCATTTGGATGCTATTATAAATTGATTAATTTCCCTTAATTTTATTTTTAGGTTGTTCATTATTTGTCTTTTATGCTTGAGTTGTAAGGGTTCGTCACATATTTTGAATATGGGTCCTTATCAGATATATGATTTGTAAATATTTTCTCCAATTCTGTGGGTTTTCATTTTCTTGATGGTGTCCTTTGAAGTATGAAAGTTTTAAATTTTAATGTAGTCTAATTTATCTATTTTTTAACTTGTTGCTCATGTTTTTGGTGTTACATCTAATAAACCATTGCTGAACTCAAAAGGCCATGAAGATTTACACGTATGTTTTCTTCCAAGAGTTTTGTAGTTTTAGCTTCTACATTTAGGTCTTTGATCCATTTTGGGTTAATTTTGGATATGATTTGAGGTTGGGGGTCCAAATTCATTCTTTTGCATGTGGATTGCCAGCTGTTCCAATAGCAGTTGAAAAGGCTATTAGTTCCCCCATTGAATGATCCTGGAACCCCCTGTTGAAAATCAATTCATCATAAGTGTACAGGTTTATTTATAGATTTTTCAATTCTTTTCTGTTGATCTATATATCTATCTTTATGACAGTAGCAAAAGTTTGATGATTACAGCTAAGTTACAGCTATGTAACTTAAAATCCAAAAGTGTGAGTCTTCTAACTGTACTCTTCTTTTGCAAGATTTCTTTAGACTATGCTAGGTTGCTTGTGTTTTCATATAAATTTTAGAATTGGTTTGTTAATATCTGTAAAAATGGCAGCTGGAATTTTCATAGGTATTGTGTTAAATCTATAGATTAATAGTATTACCATCTGAACAATATGAAGTCTTCCAGTTCATGAAGAT